>NC_000023.11:89432238-89735269 GCF_000001405.40 Homo sapiens
ATCATCTTCTTCTGTTTTTTTTTTTTTTTTTTTTTTTTTTTGACAGGGTTTTACTCTGTCATCGAGGCTGGAGTGCAGTGCTGCGATCTCAGCTCACTGCCACTTCCACCTCCCTGGCTCAAGGGATCCTCCTATCTTAGCTTGCTGAGTAGCTGGGACCACAGTTGCGTGCCACCACGCCTGCCTCGCTAATTGTATTTTTTGTAGAGACAGGATTTCGCCATGTTGCCCAGGCTGATCTCAAACTCCTGGATTTAAGCGATATGTCTGCCTCGGACTTCCAAAGTGCTGGGACTACAGGCGTGAGCCACTGTGCCCTGATTTTTTGAGCACTGTTTGGTAGTTCTCCTTGAAGAGGTCTTTCACGTCCCTGGTTAGCTTTATTCCTAGGTACTAATATTTTATTCTTTTTGCAGCTATTTTGTAAAGAATTGTGTTCTTGATTTGACACTCAGCTTGGATGTGGCTGGTGTATAAAATGGTACTTATTTTTGCAGATTGATTTTTAGGCAGGAGAATAGGGCTTGGAGGCAGGTAACCTAAGGCCAATTCGTGCTGAGTCACAGAAAAACATCAAGCTCTGTGGGCAAGGAATCTAAGGGCAATTCACTCTGACTTTTCAAAGCTGGATCAAAAGGAAAACACCTGGGTCTGGGGGCAGGGAACCTAAGGCCAATTAACACAAAATTCCTAAAGCTAAACCAAAAGGAAAAACCCCATCTCCCACAGGGAGTAACAAAGGAACAAAGGCTACTCTCCCAACAACCCTCCCTCCCCCTTCCACCATCTCAGTTGGAAAGGGAGAGTACCTTGGATTAGCCACAGGCCAAGCAGGGACCATCCCTTTATCTGCATTGGGCACCAATTCACAGCAGCCTTTAACCACAGACCAAATCCTTCATCCAGATAAGGGGTAGTCCAAGAACCTCAAACAGAGTTCTTAAAGCCCAGAAACTTTTGTAACTGGGCCATGGGGCCGCTTGCTGGGACCCACTCCCTCCCTGCAGAGTGCTTTCTCGCTTTAATAAATTCTTGCTTTCACTGCTTCGTTCTTGCATTTCATTTCTCTGCTACTTTGTGCGTTTTGTTCAATTCTTTGTTTAAAACGCCAAGGACCTAGAGAGTGTGTAGTCAAGACCCACTACCGGTAATAATTTTGTATCATGAAACTTTTCTGAAGCTGGTTACCAGATCTAAGAACTTTGGGGCAGAGACTATGAGGTCTTCTAGGTATAAAATCATATCAACTACAAAGAGAGATGGTTTGAATTCCTCTCTTCCTATTTGGTTGCCTTTCATTTCTTTGCTTGATTGCTCTGGCTAGGACATTCAGTACGATGTTCACTAGAATTGTGGAGAGTGGGCACCCTTGTCTTGTTCCATTTCCCTAGGGGAATGTTTCCAGTTTTTGCCTGTTTCCTAAGATGTTGGCCATGTGTTTGTCATAGATGGCTCTTATCATTTTGAAGTATGTTTCTTCAATGCCTAATTTGGTGAGAGTTTTAAACATGAAAGAATGCTGATTTTTGCTGAAAGCCTTTTCTGCATCTATTGAGATGATCATTTTTTTAAAGTTCTGTTTATGTAATAGACCACATTTATTGATTTGCATGTGTTGAACCAACCTTGCCTCCCAAAGATAAAGTCGACTTGATCATGGTGGATTAGCTTTTTGATGTGCTGCTGGATTCATTTTGCCAGTTTTTTTTCTTTCTTTCTTTCTTTTTTTTTTTTTTTTTTTGAGCATTTTGGCAGTGTTTGTTGTTGTTGCTGTTGTCATTGTGTCTCTGCCAGGTTTGTTATCAGAATAATGCTGGCCGCATAGAAGAGTTAGGCAGGAATCCCTCCTCTTAAGTTTTTGGAACAGCTTCAGTTAGAATGGTACCAGCTCTTCTTTATACATCTTGTAGAATTCAGCTTTTAATTAATCTGGTTTTGGGCTTTTTCTGGTTGGTAGGCTTTTTATTACTGATTCAATTTTGGAACTCATTATTGGTCTGTTCAGCATTTGAATTTCTTCCTAGTTCAATTTTGAGAGGTTGTATGCTTCTCGGAATTTATTCATTTTTTCTAGGTTTTCTAGTTTGTGTTCATAGAGGTGTTTGTAATAGTCACTGATGATTTTTGCATTTCTGTGAATGTTGTGATAATGTCCTCTGTCATTTTTGGTTGTATTTACTTGGATCTTGTCTTTTTTTTTCTTTTCTTTATTATTCTAGCTAGCAGTCCATCAATCTTATTTATTCTTTCAAAAAACAAACCTAGTTTTATAAAAATTTTCTGTATTTTTTGTGTCAATTGTATTCAGGTCTAATTTTGCTTATTTCTTTTGTTTTCTGCTTGCTTCTGAGTTGGTTTATGCTTACTTTTCTAGTTCTTCTACATTTGATGTTCAGTTGTTAATAGAGATCTTCATGATAGTTATTTGAACATATTTATCATGGCTCCTTTAAGTCTTTTTCTGTTATATCTGATAGCTCCTCATTTTTACATACTTTTCCCATTGTTTCCTTTTTTCTGTGTATCATTCACACATTCCTATTTATTTGCATATCTTGTAGTTTTTTGATAACTGAACGTTATAGGTCATATATTGTGGCAATTTGGGGTACTAAGTTTTTTTTTTTTCCTGTCTCTGTTTCTGTTGTTGCTTACTTTGTTATTATTATTATTTTTAACCTGGCTAGGCCATTTTAGTGAAATTGATTGCTACAGCAGTTTGAAGCCTTTTGTGTTCCTCCTTTGAAGTCACCTACATGGCTGTGTATAATCACCCTGAGATTGTAGTGGCTTTGTCAGAGATCTCTTTGATTATCTCTTTTCATACTTTTTCTGTAAAACTCTCTGCATCATTTGGTATTATTTCCCTCCAGTTCAGCTTCATTATCAGCTGATTTCTCTATTGTATTCAGCAATACCCTGAGTGAAGTATTGCTCAGCAATTTGATCCAGATAAGTTGGGTCAGGAATAGTATTTAAGGCCAGTCTTTAAACTTTGTCATGACTTTAGGGTCGCTATTCTTAGCTACATTTTTTCATACATTCTGGTAAAGTATCTGGCCTATGTTTCAGATTGCTGATCTTGATTGAGAAGAGCCATTGCTACTGAGAGTGTCCTTAATTTAAAACTCCTACATGTTCTATAAAGTCATATTTTGTAAGGGGAGCTTCATAGCTCTCTTTCCTTATACTCTTCCCTTCTCTCTGGCTAACTATATGACTAACTACTCTGGGCACTAGGCAGGCCACTAGACTGTGCTCTCTTATGCTTGCCTCTCCTAACATGGAAACTGCCCAATAAATGAGCTAGGGCAATAGCATTTGGGGGTCCCAGAATTCTCAGCTTACCACATTTGGGTTAGAGCTTCTATCCTCTATGTAGAGACTGGGTGTAGGTAAAAGGTCCCACTTCTTGGTCACACTCACTATTAATTTGGCCTCTTTAGCTAGGAGTTGGAGGAGATAAAACATGTTGATGACCTACCCCTCTAGGTGAGAGATAGAGTAAACCTTAATTTGGATTTGAGAGTAGAGAGTCTATCCTCTTGGCTATATCCACCCGATATAAAATTTCTGTCAAGATGAGCCCAGGATAGGTGAAGGAGAAGGTCTCAGATACCATGGGGTCTCTGTGCTCTTACTAAGTTTTAGTAGATTTTTAAAATAATTTAGTTTTGTTAATTAGGACGATTTCTAGGGACATTAAGTGGTTGTGATTTTAAATGTTTTTATGCTAGTTAGGCATTTTTCACAAGGGAGTGTCTCTGTGAAACACTACATGTCATCATTCTGAAAGAAAAGCACTCTAGTTGGTTTGTTAAAATGAGCATGTATGCAAGGAAAAAAAAATTATCAGACAATAAACATTATACATAGTTTTAATTGCATTGATGGGAGTGGGAGTTTTGCATTTTCACATCTCACATAATGGATGAACAGAGAACTTTAGTTCTTAGTAAGAAAACAAAAACATTGAACCATGGATAGAACAGTGGGGAGCTCTCTTTTGAACAACTTGTAGGTTGATGAGTAAATCAACACTAGCACTTATGTCTATCCAGAAAATAATCAGGAGATTATCACAGCTCATGAGATAAGCACAGTAGATACGTTATAGCTTTTAAACAAATTTCTTTCTAAACACAATAAAAGGAGAAATTTAATTGTTTTGCTTAAGATAAAAACCTAAGTAGGCTGGGCGCGGTGGCTCATGCCTGTAATCCCAGCACTTTGGGAGGCTGAGGTGGGTGGATAAGGAGGTCAGGAGGTCGAGATCATCCTGGCCAACATGGTGAAACCCCATGGCTACTAAAAATACAAAAATTAGCCAGTGTGGTGGCGTGCACCCGTAGTCCCAGTTACTCAGGAGGGTGAGGTAGGAGAATCGCTTGAACCCAGGAGGTGGAGGTTACAGTGAGCTGAGACAGCACCACTGCAGCTTGGGCGACAGAGCAAGACTCGGTCTTCAAAAAAAAAAAAAAAAAAGAAAGATAAAAGAAAGAAAAAAAAACCCTAAGTAAAAGTGGAGAAATATGCATATTATATTAAAGTATTAGAAAAAGTAAACTAATAGGCAATAAATTATTCTAAGTGAGATCAATTGCAAAATAAAATTTATGAAGAGAAAAGCCCACAATTACAATGAAAAACAGAGTAACAGAAAAACACTCAACAAAGCAAATAAAAGTAAAATTAATTATTCTTTGAACTGACTTTATACAAATTTGAGTAAAATGATTAATTTATAAGAAAATTATAATTACCAATAAATTGACTCAAGAAGCAGTAGAAAAGCTAATCAGATGAGTATTATATACAATATTGAGTACATTTTCAAAGGGTTATACTATGAATTTTTTCTGGCCCAGAAAATTTTGCAGGCAGTTTTTGCAGTATGTTTAAGAACAGATAATTTTGTTGCTATTTAGCTATTCCTAAGTATAGAGAACAAAGAAAAAAATTATGCTTTTTTTTCAAGATTCAAGAATAAGTGAAATATGCTTAGCACACTGGTAGTGTGCTACTTTGTTTATTTTCATTATTACTAAATCATCATAACATTGTAACCAATGTCTGACAAAGACAGATCTAGGAGAAAATAAGCATACCAATTCACCTCACTGATAGACACTGACACACACATTTTTGATAATATGTAACTGCATTGCCTCCTGTAATACATGCATAAAAATTACATCATGATCAATTAAGATTAACCTGGGAATGCAGAGATCATAGAGTCATAGTTTTATCTATTTTAGCTAATTCACCATTTTGATAAAAATGAAAAATGATCTTAATAAATGATAAAAGTAAATTTGATATAATTAACAACTAATTTTCTAATCACAACATTTAAGTAAATAAGCCCCCCAAATTAATTTCTCTGTGCAAATATCAAAGACTAACTAAACTTACAAAATTTGCATTTGATTATATTTAGAAGGTATTATCCAACAAACTAATGTACTTACTGCTTGGAAAAAGCAAGTCTCTGTGATTCTGGAATACCTGTCAGTCAGCTCTGAGATTACTTTCTTATGTTAAGAAATACTTGTCTATCAACTGTGAGATTACTTTCCTTTGCTTCTTAATCCTATGTATTTTATTTTGGCATTTAAAATTAGTATTCTGTGAAGGGATCCATTTTTTTTTTTACTGACAAAGAGGTGCACAGAACAAAAAAAAATGAGTAAATATAGCTCCTGTTTGGCAGCCTCCTTTGTATGGCTTTAGCTCTAACCATTGTTAGAGCTAATGGTCTCAATATCACCATTTCTTCCTTTTTGTCCCTTGAGAGCCAATGGTTACAAGGACTTCTTTCTGTTGCTAGTTACCAGATGCCTCAATCTGCCTCATTGGTTCTCTTAATCTTGCCATAATTTGCGGAATAGTCCTTTCCTTAAATATTCTTCAATTCCAGGCTTAGCAGGTCTTCTGTTTCCTTTGAAGATAAGTAGCAAATATATTATCCTGCCTTTATGGACAGAATTTTTGCATAGGCAGAATAGGCAAGGGAGTTAGCTTTATAAAGTTTGATGAGAATTGTGTCAATACAGAGCTCCTTTGCTAAATATATGTGACTTGCATAATGAAATACTAAAATCCTCTACTAACTTCTTTTAGATATCATACTCTACAGATGTCCCTCATTTTAAAATTCAGATGTTCTCTGGAGGTCTAACATATTCAGTTCCTTAAAAAGAAATATTATTTTTCTTTATTAACCAGACGTGCTGCTCCTTTGCCTGTGAAGTCCTGAGTACTGAAAGAGGTTCAAGTAATACGGAAAAAATGATGTTATTTTAAAAGGCAAACATCCTCTTCTGTCTACTTTTCCATTTTGTCATGGGCCATCTATGACATCACTTATAAAGGAAATACAAGAAGTAATATTTCTGCACTTTGAGTTTTAGTGAGTAAATCAAAAATTGTACACATTCAAATCCTATACAGTACAAGCATTTATTAGTGTTATACTCCTATATTCTTGTTTCTGCTTGTGCCTGGGTGCAGGAGAAATTGCAAAACATTGGGAGTGATGTCTTATTTATGTACTATCCTCTGGAGCATCATCATTGTCTGCTAGAATGACTTATCACAATTGGTCTGTGGTGCCACCCTCTGTCCCTACCTTAACTACTTTGTTGCAACTGAGCTTGTCCTAAATTTTGGACATATGCTAACTTTGACTGCTGACATTTCTGGAATGTGCAGTGGCCTGTATTCATAAGAATCACAGACTTTGAACCTTCTTTGTCATAAGCCCGGGCCTATTTTGGCCATCAGTTCTCTCAACGCTCTTACACCTTCCCATTAGGTAGGGCATGCAGAAATTTCTGGTTCTACTCCATGGCCCATTGGGACAATGTGAAACAGAGAAATAAATCATCTTAGATACTCTATTTACCAGAACATAAAATATATTCAACTGTACTCCATTGAACTATCTCATGTTGGCATGTAACATACTGTAATGATGTCTTCCTCCAGAGTTGCAAATAACAAGTGATACAGAAACACATTTTGTTTGTTTGTTTTCTTCACTTACACTCTCAATCTTATAATTCTATCTATCCATATGCCCAGTGCCCAGGGGGCCTAATACTGCCTCCTTTAAATATTTCCGTCATCATCTCATGTCCACGTAGTATTCTTTTTGCCTCCCTTCATTGTGGACACTGCCCTTGAATGATACCTTGTGTTTTCAAATATATAAGAGAGAAGGGAGAGTACAGTAGGGGCTGAAAATAGAGAGTTCTGAAGTAATACCTTTTAACTTGCTATTAGGACTCTTAACTTTACATTGTGTGGAATAAAAAGCATTGGAAAGTTTTGAGCAGTGGAGAGGTATGACAAAACATTTTAGAAGAATCAGTATGGCTGCCACACTGAGAATAGATCATAGCGTGGTGGTGGCCAAAACAGAGACTAATTAGAGGCTATTGCCATAACACAGGTGACAGATACTGGCTTGGAGCAAAGCTGTAGCAGCTGAAGGGGTGAAAAGTGTCGAGTTTTATATGATTTTTTTTTCATGGAAGAGATGACAGTGTTTTCTTGTGGGCTGGAAGTAGGGCTTAAGAGAAAGGCTTTAAGAATAATTAAAAAGAGACTGCTGACTGCTTGCCATTTTCTTTCTTAATAACAAATTATCCTTATTATTGGAGGTGGGAATATTTTCAAGTTATAAAAGAAGGAAGAGAAGGAGGAGGGGAAGAAGGAAGAGGAGAAAGAGAATTCATTTCTCAGCTTCTCTTTCAAATGAAAGTAGCCAAGAAAATGCAACGATAAAATTGCCTGGTGGAGCTTTTGGGAATGCACTTTAAAATGAGTTGCTTAGCTAGAATGTTTACTTTATTGTACTCATCTTTTCTTTTTAAAAATTTTTTTGTTTTTAAAATTTTATGTAGGTACATAGTAGAGGTCCATCTTCATGGTGTACATGAGATACTCTGATACAGGCATGCAACGTGAAATATGCACATTATATAGCATGTACTCATCTTTTGTTCCTTTCTGCTATCTGGAATATGGACTAAAATACCAAGATGTTTGCAAATGATGCATTTTAAGCCCTAAACTGGTAACAGTGGTTGTCTATATCTAAAATATTTGTCAAATAGGAAAAAATCATTCTTATGTTTAAACCACTGTAATCAGGTCTCCATTACTTGTATTTTAGCTTAAATTCTAAGTAAAACAAATGAATTCAAGATTTTTGTTCTTAGCAGATCTAATGATGGCACTGCCATTTACTGAGAAGGAGAAAGCAGTTGGGAGGAGCAGATTTTGAGGGAAAACCAGGAGCTCAGTTTTGCATGCGTTAAGTTTTTGATGCCCATTAGATATCTATGTACAAATTTTTAGTAGGTATCTGGCCATATGAGTCTGGAGATCATGGAGTCTTAGAAATAATTATATGAAATGCCTGATACCTGTGAGCGATGTCTAAAGCCAGTACAAACTTTATAATTTCCCAAATGCTATTGATATATTTAAAACAGAGTTTATTTCAAATCATCGTCTTTATTTTTTTGTATAATCAGAAAAATATTAGTTCATAATTAATGTATAAAAATGGGTAAATATCCTTTCTGCTTTGTTTTCTCTTACCACAATGGCATCACAATGAAGATTTACTAAATTAAATAAAGTTGATTTCAGCTAACATCTTCAAATCTTTGTAATATCCTGGATGCCAATGTATTTAAGTCAACTTGGACAAAACTATATTCAGTATAATAAATAAAATACTAATAAGATCACTAATTCTATTATGTAATTACAATTTATTTGTGACAATGTTCATTAGTACCAAAATAGTTATATATGTAAACACACACACACACACACGTATGTATATACATATTTGTTTTTGTATTTAAAAATATGTGAGCAACAAAGAACAAAAATATTAATAGTTCTATCAAAACACTAAGAGAAAATATTTCTATATTCATGACCATTGATTAACATGACTAGCTAATCCATACATGCTTGAGATTTAGGAATATATCAAAAAAACAAATAGTAATAAATATGAAAATTATTACCCATTGAAGCCATCCAACCTAAGCAGCAATCTTAGTACTGGCTGATCCTGCATTGTTACAAAAGTATGGGTGATTATATTTCCAAAGATTCTTTTCCTATAAAAACCTTGTTCTGCACAAGCAGAATATCAAAATTTCTATTCACATTTTACCACTATAGTTGTATTTTTTTACTCACACTGTAGTTACTTAGAGGAAAATTAGTACCATAAACTTATACTTTTATTATCTTATGGCATTCTCCTCATTTTTGATCCTGCATTTATGAGCTTACATTCAGCCAGGAGCTTATTATTATCCATTTATAAGCAGCCAATAAAATAGTAAATTATACATTTGAAAGCCGGGCTTACTGAGATTTTAAAAGTCACTGCATTTATTTTCTTTTCTGTAGTAGAAATGTGCTACAACCACTCAAGGTCTGCAAACAGATTCCTATTTAGATGTTGTTGAGAGGTAAGTACAACTAGTTCTCATTAATATTTCATGTCTTATGTGCCATACTTACACTGCCATTTTGTAGTCATTTGTCCTACAGCTAAAGATTAATTTATAATCAGATACGTGAAATCTGATATGTGCATTAAGCTTGATTATACCTGACTGTGTCTTCACGAAGATAATTGTAAGTGACATATTAATTAATTTGCAAGTGTGTTCGTTTTACATTACATATAGTATCACAGACAACATTACACATATGATAATTTGCCATTAGTCCTAAATATTAATAATATGATTTCTCAATGAGTCTGAAACATTTTCAAGATACTAGAAATTTGTGACAGATGCCTTTTACATCTATGAGAATCCAGAATATTATTCTTTAAAATGCATTTTCTCATAAATAGCTCATTAACTTTCTCATTGTTCTCAGTTGTAAATCTGTAAAAAGCAATTTTGTTCCCTTGTCTGTAATAAGAAATCTTTTGCACTCATTAAGATAATTAAAGCATTACTAGTGTGCATGCTCACTATATTCAAAACATTTTCTACTTGATATGAGTTGTCATGGCATTATCAAGACCGGAGGGGGCGGAAAGAAAAAAATAAAATAGCGTCAGCCTATGGTTATGCTCTTTGAATTTGAATATGATTAAGTGCATCTTTAATTTGTTTCTGAGTCGTAGTTTAAAATAAAAACTGGAGAGCATTTTGTAGGAGCAATACTGCCCTTTTGTTCAATTTCCTTCTTTTAATTCAACAGAACACTTAATAAAATCATACATTTTAGAAAGTTTTGGAAATTTTTTTGGTCTTTTTATTACAGTTAGGTAGGGGTTTTATTTCCTCATGTGTTTGCTTTATTTTGCTTGGGTAAAGAAATGTTTTCAAATTTAGTTTATGTCTTTACATTATACATGTAGTCCAGGATGTTAGCTGGTAACAAAATTATCAAAGCAAAATAGGTGTTTATGCTATGGGTTCCTTGATCTCCTACTCTTAGGCTTTTTGAGACACATTCACTTTTACCATTTTGATCTTTTAAATTTTTTTTATTTTTAATTTTTGTGGGCACATAGTAGGGCATATATTTACGAGGCACGTGAGTGATTTTGATACTGGCATACAATGCATTATAATCACATCAGGTTAAATGGAGTATCCATCACCTCAAGCATTTATCATTTCTTTGTATTACAATCTAATTCTACACTTCTAGTTATTTTTCAATGTATAATAAATTAGCATTGACTATAGTCACCCTGATGTGCTATGACATGCTAGATCTTATTCATTCTATCCAACTATTTTTTGCACCCATTAACCATAGTCACTCTGCCCCAATCTTCCCACTACCCTTCCCAGTCTCTGGTACCCATCCTTCTACTCTTTATCTCTATGAGTTTAAAGGTTTTAATTTTTAGCTCCCACAGATAAATGAGAACATGCAAAGTTTTTCTTGCTGACCTGGCTTATTCACTTAACCTAATGACCTCCAGTTCCATCTATGTTGCAAATGACAGGATATCATTCTTCACATTTCATTCACAAATGGTATGACAAGCTGTAGTAGACAGAAATTATTTTTTGGTTTAATCTCACATGCCCATTTTATCTTTATGGGGAACTAAACTATTTTTCTGGGAACTACTCCTTTCCCCACCTTAATCCCTATAGGTGTTTTGTTTTGTTTTGCTACAACTCTTATTATGTTATCTTACTTATTTTATGCCTGTTGCTCCATCCAGGTGTGGGCAGTTTATCTTATTGAGCGAATCATTTCTTCAATGAACACTTTATTAATTATACAGAAAAGTATGAGTGATTCCAACTTAAGAAGTTTTAAATTGTGGTGATGTCAGCTCTATTAATAGGCTAATAAAAACTTTTAAGATTAGGCCTGGTCATGGGAATACGTTTTCAGGAATCGTTTCATGAAAAAACACACAAAAATGTTTTACTTATGGTTCTGTATTCGTCAAAATTCTCCAGAGACACAGAATCAAAAGATAAATAGATATAAAGATAGATAGGTGATAGATGGATAGATAGATAGATAGATAGATGGATGATAGATAGATAGATAGGAAAATAAATATATGTGAGGGGTTAATAGGGGAATTGGCTCAAATTATTATGGAAGCTGAGATGTCCCACACTAGATCATCTGTAAGCTGAAGAACCAGAGAAACTACTAGCATGCTCAGTCCAATTTGGAAGGTCTAAGAACCGAGAAAGCCAACGATGGAAGTCTCAATCTGAGTCCAATGGCAGGAGAGCCCCAGTAGACTGCAAGTGCAATTCCCAGAGTCAAATGGCAGAACAACCTAGAGTTTTGATGCTCAAGGGCAGCAGAAGGGTGTGCTACTCCAAAAGAGAGAAAGATATAATTGACCCTTCTACCCTTTTTTGTTTAATAAGAGCCCTTAGCCAATTGGATGGTGTTTGCCCATGTTGAGGGTGGAATTTCCCCACTTAGTTGACTGGCTCACATACCAGTTCTTCTCCAAAAACACCCTTACAGACAAATCCAGAAACAATGTTTTATTAGTCATCTAGGCATCCTTCAATCCAGTCAACAACTAAAATTAACTATCACAGGTGTCCACTGGTTTTTCTCTTCTATTTTCAATGACTCTTGATTGTGAGTTACAGAAAATGAAATTAAGCACAAATCAAAGTGTACTGGAAGAATCCCAGGGACCTTATAAAATAATAAAAATATGGAAGGAGAAAAAAAACAAAGGATGGCCAGTGATTTGATTATCACCAGAGTTTTTTTATCCCTTGTCTTTATTTCTTTCTAAATGTCCAATGTTTTATTTTGTTTTGTATTTTAAATTGTGTTTATTTTTAATTTTTGTGAATACATGGTAGGTATATATATTTATGGGTCACATGGGATATTTTGATACAGGCATGCAAAAATGCATAATAATCACATCAGGGTAAATGGGGTTTCCTTCGACTCAAGCATTTATCCTTTGTGCTACAAACAATGCAATTATATTAGGGAGCTAAACATTAAAATAATTGGACTCATGTTCAGTATTTTTGTCTCTCTCCCCTCAGAATGACTGTCTATCTTGAGAAAAAAAAAAAAAAAAAAAACATGCTTAAACCGTATACCATATCTTGTTTTTGTAGGCATCCAGAGAGATAGGCTCTTAAAGATACACAAACCCTACTTTTAAAATATTAGAGAAGAATTGAAGGAAAGATTGACCACCTGCTGTAGGGGAGAAAAAAGTGATATGTTTTCCTCTCCCATCACAAGGGTGTTCATAGCCAACACCCCTATAACAAAAGACAGATTAACAAGAGAAAATCATCATTTATTTATTTAACCAAAGTTTTATGTGACATGAGAGCCTTCATAAATCAATGCAAACCAAAAAACCTAGAGAAAATGGTGTATTTTTATGCTGAGTATGAAGAAAAAAGTCGATAGTTGTGAAAAAACATGATTAGGAAAAAAAGAGTATAATCTAATGACATTATATAAACTGAGATAAACTTCAGCAAGGACTGTTTGTTCAGATTATTTCCTGCATCTCTGTATGATATTTCTTCCCCTAGAGTATGGAGCAGGACCCCTGTTCCATGAGGATCATTAGGGGAGAAGCGAGATCAGAGAGTCACAACCAAGGTGTCATTTTTTCAATGTAGTACTTTCTAAGCCTTGACACAGTCATGAGTGTGATCTTTCAGAATTATGTGGCAAATCAAGCAATTGGCAAGCTTTTAATGAAAACTAAAGGAGCTTTGAGGATATAAAAAAGATATAGATAAAAACAAGTTATAGAATTTATCAAAAATGATTTCAGAGGAAAATATGATAGTGGTCCTGCTTATCTGTGGGGGATAGGTTCCAAAATACCTAGTGGATGCCTGAAACTACTGTTAATACTGAACCCTATATGTAGTATGTTTTTTCCTGTGCACACATCTATGATGATATTTAATTTATAAATTAGACGCAATAAGATATTAACACTAACTGATAAAATAGAAGTCATAATAATATAATATACTGTAATTAAAGTTATGTGAATGTAGTTCTCTCTCTCTCTTTCTCTCTCTCTCAAAATATCTTATTTATCTGAAAATATCTTATTGTATGTAATATGTTCACACTGCAGTTGATGGTGGGTAACTGAAACCCCAGAAAGTGAAAACAAGGGTAATGGAAGACTACTGTACCTTAGAGATAGATTAGTGTTAAATATGTGCCAACATAGAAAATTGTCTCATTTACACAAATTCAATATAGTATTTTCTCTTAAAGCAAAAGGAGCTAATAATATTTTCTGTAGTGACTACTGCTTCTTAATAGTGTAGCTTCTTTTTTTTGATAACCATTTTTCTTAGAGCTATCTGAAGACACTATTCAAGTAGTGTAACAAAGCAAAAAGCAAATGTGTATGCTCTGTTAAAAGACAATGAAAGTTATACAGAAGAGCTCCTTTTATAACAAATAATTTTGCATAACATAACTACTCTTAAAGCAATACTAATCATACAAAACTTCTATTATTGATTTATAAGCATGACAAATAGCCATTATACTTTTTGATGTTTTTGCTATCTTCTTTTGGATTTTATTTTCTGTTCATGTTTTGTAAGGTATGTTTTCTGTCATTTTAATTACTTTTAACAAAATCACATCCGGGTGCACTTTTTATTAAATAAGCATTTAGTTCTGGTCTCTGCCTCAAAGAGCCGAAGTTGAGTTGTAATATTTGCTTTAATGTTCAAGTTTTTACCTTGTAGGATAGTGATGAGTTCTGGGTTTGTGTAGTAGACAGAATAATGCTCTCAAAAGATGCCCACAATCTAATCCCCAAAACCTGTGAATATGTCACCTAGCATGGCAAAAGAGACTTTTGTACATTATATGTTATTTTCATGTCTTTAAGTGTAATTAGCTAAAATATTGTTTAGTTTTCTACTGTTTGTCTTTACCAATGATCAGTTTAACAGTTTTTCTATTATGGAGATTTAGATTGACATCAACATTTGCTATTAATGATTTATTATTTCTTCCTTTCTGAAAGTTGAATTTCTGGAACAAGAGATATAGATTAAGACTGTTGTTACATGTTGCCTACATGACTTTCAAAAGCTTGATTCCCAGTGGCATTCTCAACAGCAGTCATAAACAATGGTAATTCAATGTATATTTATATTCAACTGATATATTAATTGGAATATATTAAAAATACGTATATTTATATTCAGAATATTTATATGGAAAATATGAATATATATGTGTGTGTGTGTGTGTGTGTGTGTGTGTGTGTGTGTGTGTGTGTATCCCATTATTTCCCTAACACTAGATCAGGGCTTTTTAACTATGGTGATTTTACACACCCCTATTCTCCAGAAGACGTGTTATTTATGGAGACATATTCAATGGTCAAAACTGCGTGGATGATGTTAGTAGGCAGATGCCATGGATGCTGTGAAAGGTCCTACAATGCATAGGTCAGCCCCCCACCACAAATAATTATCTAACTCAAAATGCCAATAATCTCCAGATTTAGAAACCCTATTCTTCCTAATGAATAGTCATATTTTACCATCTTTAAAAATTGAGAGCCATGTGACAGAATTATTTTGGCATTCCCTTTCTCAGAAGAATGTTAAACATATTTTGCTCACTCTTTCTGAGTGATTTCACCACAGACACTACTTGCATCTGTTCCCACTTATTTTTTTCGCATCAAACCAAATATAGCAATTTCAAAAACTAGTTACTTTTTCTGAATTAAATAAAATAAAAACATGATTTAAGCTGTGCCTTCAGATTTAAAATAACAGAATGCCTTTTCACATTGACCATAGTATATATGTACATAATACTTTCAAGTATCTTTAAAATTTTCAGAGGTTACTTTTCTGGTAGAAAGTTTTATCTTTATATATGGCTCTGTGTGTGTCTGTGTGTGTGTTTGTGTGTGGTATATGATATACGTATGTGTGTGTGTTGATATGTATGTGACACATAAAATCATATGTAGTTTTAACCATTTAAAAGGATCATAAAACCTACAACCATTTAACAATCATACTATTTTTTAAAAAATAGATGATTATTCATAGTCTTGAAACATTTCATTTACTTTCATGAATCTCATTCCCTTCAACAACCCTGGAAAGAGCAACTTTCCTGGAATCAGCATATATAACATTCTTGATTTTCTTATTAGTTTACTCAACAATATCTGCAAGATACATTCATCCATATTCTTGATATATATGTAGGTTATTTATTTTCACTGCTCTGCAGTTCTCTACCATATGAAAATAGCACAATTATATCGATGTATCCCCTGGCTAGTGGTTATTTTGGTTGCTTCTATTTTTTTGATGTTACAAATAATGATGCTATGAACATTATGTGCACATTTTCTATTGAACATGGGAGTATCTCTTCAGCAGCAATCTTCAAACTTTTTTCTTTAATACAACTGAAAAAAACTATGTCCACTTCACATATGTTTGGGTTGGTGTCTAAATATTTTTATGTAAAAGAATTGCAAAAATATTTAATTTCTAGCATACTATAAATGTGTCTTAAAAATGTGTTTTCCTCAAACCCTTAAAGCTATAGCTTTATCTCATACAATTTGGGAAAATGTCTACTATATACTCTAATTGGCAAAACAGTTCCCACGCTGAGAATCAGCCAAAAATTACTTGCATTACCAATAAGAATAATTTCACTTTTGAACTCCAATAAAGCTTAAGATGCCCATTAAACATCTCATTTTTAAAGATTCCTAGGTAGATACAGTATGCAGATAAATAGATGATTGATAGAGTGATTGATTGAAACAGACAAAAATTTTTGATAGTAGTTTTGTACTTAGGTGAAATAAAGGCAATATTTTTTACACATCTTTTTAGTTTGCTTTCACAATAAAAATCTTCCTCAGAAACTTTGTATGCTCATACTGTTTCCTTGTAGGATGCTCTACAGATTGGTACACTCTAATGTACTATTGTAATGTTCCAGATAGGAGAAATGGCTACCTTTATTTTGTTAAACTGGAGATTGGCAGCTATGACTGAGGACTTGCAAAAGCGGAAACAGGGACTTCTCAGTGAGGTCAATATTTGGAGGAAATATGTATAGAAACTGAAGATCTGTCTGAGTTTACCCCTGAGGTACATTATAGCATACATCAGTTTGAATATTTATTCTTTAATGTACATATTTGGATATGGAGTTGTTTAAGCATCAGCTGTTTGGAAATTCTGCTTTGCCAAGATATTTCTAACTTGCTTTTTAGAACAGTTGTAACATTTTACATTTCCATAGCTCCCTTGGCTTCACATGATTGAGTAATACTTTAAATCAGATTGTATATGTATTACGCAGTGTTTTTAATTTCCTGATTAGTAATGAGATTGTAACTGAACTCAGGTTCAGTTGTTTGCCAATTGAAAGCCAAAACTTGAGAGGCAAGCGTTGGTGGAAGAGAAAAGCAGGTTTATTCAGGAGCTGACAATCCAAGGAGATGGTGGACTTGCATAGCAAAGACCATCTCAAGTTTCTCAGCCTGGACATAGGGGTTTTAAAGGGGAAAGGGCTTGGGAAACTATGTACAGGAGTTAGCTATGCATTTCAGAATGTCTTTTTCCAACGACTATCATGAGGAATGGGCATCAAGAGGTGTAGCTGGCATCATCCAACCTCTAATAAGATTGAAGATTAACTGCTCAGCATTTTTTTTCCATTAAGAACATTTCACAGCCTTGGTTTTATCTTGGGGTTAGTTCTTGGAATTCTTAAGCAAGCACACAGTTAGGTATTGTAAAAGAAAGAATAGTTATTTGTTTCCAAAATGGAATGACTGCGTCGGTTACAAGATGATCACCTTTATATGTTATTGCTATTCAGATTTTCTCTTCCATAAAATACTTGTTTGCATCTTTTGCCTGCAGTTTAATTGGGTGGTTTGACATTTTGGTTTATATGAATTTCTTAATATGTTATGGACATTAATCCTACACTGGTTTTTTATGTTGCAAAGATCTGCTCTCAGAGTGAAAATTATTTTTATGGCATCTTTTGATGATGAAAAGTCCACAATTCAAAATAGATTAATTTATCAATACTTACTAGTTTCTTTTACTTAAGTATGTTATTTCTCTTAAAAATTATCTATATATCAGAAAAATACCTCCATTTATATTCCTGAAAAAATTATTTAAATTTGCCTTTCATATTTAAGTCTCTGATATACTGGAAATTAACTTTTGCATATGTCATGACGGATACACTATTTTGCTTGCTTTATAGTTTCTGGATAAATACTTATCTCAGGGCCACTGACTGACTAGTCTATACTTTTACCTCTATACAATATCTGGTGTTCATATTTTTGCAGGTGTATTTCCTGACTCTCTAACGTGTTATTAGCTTTCAATCCTTGCACTCACACCATGCAGTGTTAATTGCAATTGTTTGATAGTAAATTTTAATCACTGCTGTAGCAAATTTTCATATCTTATTTCTTCTGGGTTACACTTGGCTCTTTGGCCTTTGGTTCCTTGACTGTACTTCCATTTAAAATTTCAGGATTGACTTCAGTTAAAAATAATCTGTAAGAATTGTTCAAATTTAAGCTTGTAATATCAGAAATATTTCACTTTTTGCATTAAATGCATCTCATGATTATTGATATGTAATATTATTTTATTTTCTTCAATTCTAAAGATCACTTATTCCCCACTGGGATTTTTTATTTAGCATTAATTTATGTAGAAAAGTATTTTTAAATTTCCAAGCTTATGATATTGTGAGTTATCTTTGTATTATTTAAAAATTAATAACATTGCAGTTAGAGATTATTATGTGTATGAAATTAATATTGGAAAACCACTGAGAATTGCTCTACTTCCTATTATATTGTTGATTTTCATGAATGTTTCCTGTTTCTTGAAACTGTATATTCGTCAGTTCTTTGGTATAGTGTTCTATGTATACTCATTTGATCATTCTTACTATATGTTACCCAAATATTCTTAATCACAATTTTTACCTGTTTCACCCATCAATTACTGAAAGATATGTTTTTAAATCCTCACTGATGTAGTAACTTTCAGCATATTTTGCACATATACAGATGCTCCTTGATTTATGATAGATTTATGCCCTGATAAACTCATAATAACTCAAAAATTTTGGAAATCACAATGCATTTAATACCCCAGTAAACACATTGTTAGTAAAAAAAAAAATAATAAGTTGAACTATCATAAGTTCAGCTGTTCCTTGACTTACAATGAGGTCACACCCCAATAAACCCATCACAAAGGCAAAAAATCATAAGTTGAACCATAGTTAAGTAGAGGTCATCTGTATATATTTATAACTGTATATCAATATAAACATAGATATAGGTATGTGTGTACATGCATGAATGTATATCATACATATCTGCCAGGTTAGAACTATTATATTAATATCTTCCTGACAAATTGAATAAATGAATAATTCTAGATGTGGAAAGGTTATCATTATAATTAGTTATAACTATAATATTATAATAATACAAAGATCTGAATGAATGGCTTCTCCCAGATAATATTGTATTGAAAGTATATATATACCTTTTAAAAAATGAACATAATTAAGTTGCTCTAATGGAAGAAAAATCACACCTCGTTTTGCACCATGTACATCAATTGACGTTTGATAATAAAGTGCAGATTTCCACACACAGCACACGGCAACACCTTGGTCACCTTATCATTCCATCCAATCTGTGATATTAAGATTGTATATGATCTCCTAAGATTTATTCAACTCATTATATATTCCCCCTGAAAGGAAGTGGGGATGGTAGACTCTCCCATTCATTTCTCTTAATTTTTGCACAGAATGCCCTTCATTGTGATACATACATTGTACTATCCTCCTAGATCATTACATGTGAGATGCAAAAGTTCCTTTTACCCTAATTTCAGTCATTTATAATTTTTAAATTTATTAGTTAAAAGTATAATAGTTATTTCTACTTTTTAGTAGCATTTGAAGATAAGAGACAAATACCTTACCCAGAATTATCTGGATGATTCAGTTAAATTTGTTAACTTTATTATGTGATAGGCCATTGAATTTTCCTGCACTGTAATATGAATTGTGTAGATAAAAACATTTACTCAAATTCAGCTCTAGCCTCACTTATATTTTCTATTCTATTTTATATTTTAAAAAACTAAATGTAATTTCCATAAGAGCTGTATGGAAACACAGCTGCCAGAGAGCATGGCATAATGTGGACAAGTGACACTGGGAGGGAACAGTCAGAAATTAGGTCAGTTTTCCTGTCCAAAAGCTTTGCTGGGGAGAATGAAAATGGGAAACAGAAAAAAGCAGGGGTTGCAATCCTAATTTCAGATAAAACAGACTGTAAACCCACAAAGATCAAAAAAGACAAAGGAGAGTATTACATAGCACTAAAGGGCTCAATTCAACAAGAAGGCCTAACTATCCTAAATATATATGCACCCAAAACAGTGGCACCCAGATTCATAAAGCAAGTTCTTAGAGACCTACAAACTTAGACTGCGACACAATAATAGTGAGAGACTTCAACATTCTACTGATAGCATTAGACAGATCATAGAAGCAAAAAATTAACAAAGATATTCAAGACCTAAGCTCAACAATGGACAAAATGGATCTGATAGACCTTTACAGAACTCTCTAGCCGAAACCAGGATATACATTCTTCTCATTGCCACGTGGCACATACTCAAAAATTGACCACATAATTGGGCATAAAACAATATTCAGCAAATGCAAAATAACTGAAATTATACCAAACAGACTCTTGGATCACAGTGCAATAAAAATAGAAGTCAAGCCTGAAAAAAAAATCACTAAAAACTACGCAATTACATGGAAATTAAACAACATGTTCCTAAATGACTTTTGGATAAATAATGAAATTAAAGGAGAAACCAAGAAGTTCTTTGAAACTAACGCAAAGGTACAACATACCAGAATCCCTGGGACCCCGTTAAGCAGTGTTAAGAAGGAAGTTTATGACACTAAATGCCCACATCAAAAAGTTAGAAAGATATCAGATGAGCAACCGAGCATCACCATTTGAGGAACTAGAGAAATGAGAGCAAACCAACCCCAAAGCTAACAGAAGACCAGAAATACTCAAAATCAGAGCTGAACTGAAGAAAATTAAGACACAAAAACCATACCAACAAATCAACGAATCTAGGAGTTGGTTCTTTGAAAGAATTAATAAAATAGGCTGCTAGCTAGACTAGTAAATAAATAGAGAAATATTAAAACAAATGCAGTCGGAAATGACAAAGGGGACATTATCACTGACCCCACAGAAATACAAAACAAAAACAAAAACAAAAAAAACCCGAAAAACCCTGACACTACTGTGAACACCTCTATGCACACAAACTAGAAAACTTAGAAGAAATGGATAAATTCCTGGAACCCTACGACTTCTCAAGATTGAAGCAGGAAATAATTGAATCCCTGAGCAAACCAATAATTATTTCCAAAATTGAATCAGTAGTAAAAAGCCTATCAACAAGAAAATGCTCAGGACCAGATGGATTCACAGCATAATTCTACAAGATGTGTATATCTGTGTGTGTGTGTGTGTGTGTGTGTATGTAAATAAACTGGTACCATTTCTACTAAAACTATTCCAAAAAATTGAGAACGAGATACTCCTCCCTAACTCATTCTTTGAGACCAGCATCATCCTGATACCAAAACCTGGTAGAGACACAGCAAAAAAAAAACTTCAGGCAAATATCCTTGATGAACATTGACGCAAAAATCCTCAGCAGAATACTAGCAAACCAAATCCAGCAGCACATAAAAAAGCTAATACACCATAATCAAGTAAGCTTTATCCCTAGGATGCATGGTTTGTTCAACATATGCAAATCAATAAATGATATTCACCACATAAGCAGTACTAAAAAAACAAAAATCACATGATTATCTCCACAGATGCAGTAAAGACTTTTGACAAAATTTAACATCTCTTCATGTTAACAACCCTCAACAAACTGGGCATTGAAGAAACATACTCTAAAATAATAAGAACCATCTATGACAAGCCTATAGCAAACATCGTACTGAATGGGCAAAGGCTAGAAGCACTCCCCATGAAAACCGGAACAAGACGAGGATGCCCAATCTCACCACTCCTATTTACCATAATACTGGATGTCCAGGTCAGAGCATTCAGGCAAGAGAAATAAAGAAAATCCATCCAAATAGGAAGAGAAAAAGTCGTACTATCCCTTTTTACCAATGATATAATTCTATACCTTGAAAATCCCATAGTCTCTGCCCAAGAACTCCTTGATCTGATAAACAACTTCATCAAAGTGTCAGGATGCAAAATCAATGTGCAAAAATCAGTAGCATTCCTATACAACAATAACATGCAAGTTTCTAAGCTTACATGGCTCTAGCCATGCCTCTTATTGTTAAAATAATGACTATCCAAAATTTTGTATATATCCTCACTTTATAGATGAATCTATGGACCTTATTTTGGAAAATTTACTTCAGCTTACCATTTTAAAATTGTATACAATTTTATGATTTGTGGTTTTCATTGTGCTTCTAACATTTATCTAGATTGATGCATGAGCCCCATTAATATTACTGTGGTAGTAAAATTCATTGTGTGCATGTACTACAATGTATTTATCTATTCTCTGATTGATCATCATTTGGGTTGTTTTCAGGTTTTGATTATTATACAAATGGTCTCCTGACCATTTGTGTACACGTCACTTGCAAACAGACACACATTTTTGAGATATTCACCTGAGAGTAAGATTCCTCAATTTTAAGCTTTACAAGATAATTCCAATTTGTTTGCTAAGTTGTTTGTACAAGTTACATTTTTATGAAGAGTCTATAGCAGTTTCCTTTAATCTATACATGTCAAGGTGTGTACCTGACATCTTAAAACTTATAATTTTTATGGCTGACTTTTGAACATGCTAAAATATTTCTTTGTAGATTTGATTTACATTTCTCTAATTAGTAGTAGTTCCAGCATTATTTCAGGTATATATTTGCACCTTTTTTTCCTATTTTATGTAACTCCTTTTCCTGTTTTTGTTATTTTTTCCAAAAATTATGTATGTTGTCCCTTTCTTTTTGATTTTCAGGTATTATATAATTTATAGGGATGACTTTTTAAGTGATAAATATTGCAAATATTTTCACCCGCTTTGTGAATTGTCATTTTTGTCTCCTTTTATGGTGTTTATAATAAAAATAATTATTTAATGTAATATAGTCAGTTGCAGCATTTTCTTATGGGTCTAGCTCATGAAATCCATCTCTACTCCCAAAAGCATAAAGATATCTCTATATTTTCTTCTGAAAGTTCTAAAGTTTTGCCTTTTACTTACTTTGTTTTAACTTTTTTTTTTTTTTGGAGACGTAGTTTCGTTCTTGTCGCCCAGGCTGGAGTGTCATTTTAACTTTTAAAACATCCTGTTCTGTTTCATTGGTAAGTACATTTTTTCAAAAGTTTAATTATGCTTCCATAGTTGTGAAGACAGATATACATTTAAAACATAAAAATCAGAACCTCAACAGAACCCCAGAGGTGAGCAGAGTAGGTAGGTCAGGTGTGATGTATATGGCAAATAGAACATCAATGCTGCTTTGGGGGCATGGGGGAATATATACAGTATTGTATTCAGTGTTCTACATGATCAGTGCCAGATTACTGGTTTGTTTTTGTTTTTGTTTTTATTTTTGAGATGGAGTCTTACTGTGTCACCCAGGCTGGAGTGCAGTGGCACCATCTCTGCTCACTGCAACCTCCACCTCCTGGGTTCAAGCAATTCTCCTGCCTCAGCCTCCCAAGTAGCTGGGATTACAGCTGCACACCACTGTGCCTGGCTAATTTTTGTATTTTTAGTAGAGACGGGGTTTTGCCATGTTGGCCAGGCTGGTCTCAAACTACTGACCTCAAGTGATCCGCCCACCTCGGCCTCCCAAAGTGCTGGGATTACAGGTGTGAGCCACCACGCCTGGCCCAGATTACTGTTTATTGGGATCTTCTCCCATGGATGGAGACCACAGTGGTGGAGGTAGAAACCGTTCTGATACCATTGCTATAGGTCCTATGGGTAACTAGTACCTCTTTTAAGCAGCAGGCCTCTGGGGCCTGTGAGTGCTGGATGAACACTTATAAGCTAGTAATGTAATTATGTGATAGAGAGCAAGAGCCACAGAAGCTGGTGGAGAAAAGAGTATACAGCTGGGTGACATGGTAGTAGATATAAATGAAACTTATTTATTACTATTGTGAATGAATTAACATATACAATGAAACCCAGGGTGTATATAAATAGGTAGTTTGCTTCAGCGAATTATTGGTAATGAGCCTATAAAAATGACTTAAAAATTGGCAGAAATGTTTCTGAAGTTGATGATACAATGGCTAAATGATTAAAAGTCACCTATATCTAAATCCATAATATATTCAAAGTTGATTTTTATTAATCTTATAAAATTTGGATTTTGAATGATTTTTCCATAAGGATATCTGAGTGTGTGATAACAATTTATTGAATAATCAGTCCGTCTTTTCCTAATGGATCTATCCCTATGTTACTACTACTCTCTATGTTACATATAAGTAATTGTGATGGTTAATTTTATGTGTCAACTTGATGAGCTATGAGGTGACCAAATTAAATATAATTTCTTGGTGTGGTCATGAGGGTGTTTGAGTGTTAAATTAACATTTTAATTCCTGGAAGGAGGAATTCACTTTTTCATTTTCTTCCTCTCTGCCTACTTAAGCTGGGGCATCTTATCTCATCTTCTAAGGCTCTCGAACTGGGATTCAGCTTCCCTGGTTTTCAGGTCTTTGACTCAGAGTGAATTATGTCATTGGCTTTTCTGGGTCTCCAGATTGCACACAACAGATCATGGAACTTCTCAACCTTCATTATTGCATGAAGAAATTTTCTATAATTGATTTTCTTTTCTTTCTGTCTCTATTTATTATCTATCATCTATCTATATCTATCTATCATCTATCTATCTATCTATCTATCTATCTATCTATCTATCTATCGTTATCATCATTATCAACTAGCTCATACTTGGTTCTGTTTCTCTGGTAAACCCTGACAAATACAATAACTTTATAATGTACTTTGATATATTGAAGGTTGAATTCTCCCACGATATTTTCTTTTTCAACATACAATTGTATATGTTAGAATCACTTCTTTCCATATAGGTTTTAGAATCAGCATGTTGCTATTGTAAGTGATAGTTTTTTTAAATTATACTTTCCAGATCTGTGGCTGTTGTACAGAAATGCAATACGTTTATATGTACTGATTTATGTTCCCAAAATAGTGCTAATAGCTTAACTATTTTTACAGTTTAATCTGTATGTCATTTTGCTTCCTCTCCCACATCAATTTCAGAAATTAATTTCCAAGTGCCCTTCAAATTCTGTTCAAATTTTGTTCGTCATATCACTTATTATAAAAATAACTGAGAGGAGATTTGACTTATTTTTATGCCTCTCTATTTATATAGATGTTTCTTGTTGATAATGAATAAAACTTTATACTTTTCTAGATCTTTTCAGGGTTATTGTTGCTATCTTAAATAAATATTTAAAGTGAATTTCCTAATTATTGGAGTAGACAATTGCTATTAATTTTTAGATTATGATTTTTTGGTTAAACTTTCTAATTAAATCTAATAGAGCATCTGTAGTTCTATTAGTGTTTCTATTCATACAATAATATCAGATGCATATAATGCATTATTGCTTTTCTTTGCATTTTTCTTGATGTAGTGAACTGGCTGAGCTTTCCAAGATGTGGTTGAACTGAAGTGAAGATAGAGAATATTCTTCTATTTTTCCTCATTTAAATGAGCACAATTTTATTAGGTTACCATTATGAATGATGATTGCTGTTGATGTCTGAGATCTGATTTGTGATGACCATTAAAACCTTTTAAGTTTTTATTTCAGCCAAGAAATTTTGCTTGTTAATGTTTCCTTGACTGTTGTTCCTTATACTTTAAGTGAACTGACCTTCAATCTTTCTCTGTAACTCTTGATATTATCATACAATTTTTTCATCAAGTCTCTTAAAGTGGTAAATGATGTTTGAAAATTTGCTTATATAAAATCACTCTTTAACCATAATGGTCATGATTTACTATATTTTTAAGGGTTTATTCAATTCTGTTTACTAATATTTTATTCAGAATATTTACTTCTAAATTCATAAGTAACATGGGTCTATATTTTTTAATATTGTAAGTTTCATTTTGGTATTAAGATTTTATTTTTTATAGCATAGTTGAAGAATAATCTAATTTTTCCAATTTCTTTGACTAGTATATATAAAATTGGAATTATTTCTCCCTTCAAATTTTTGTAATAGTGCCCTACCAAATTTTAGATAAGCCACCAAAATTTGGATGATTAGAAGACCCCAATAAACAGGAATCTGGCATTGATCATGAAGATTATTTAGACCTACCAAAAAATCTTCTTTGTGTGAAGATTTTTTTTAAATTAAGCTAAATCAGGTTTCCTACTTGTTAAATCAGTTTTTGATATTTGTCCATATCATCTGAGTTTTCAAATTTACAGATATCAGTATTCTCATACTATGTTTTTATTCTCTTTTAAACCTCTTCTCTATTTGTGGTTATATCTTTTCATTAGTATTAGTATTTCTTTGGAATTCTTATTTTTCTTAACTATTTGTTTAAACATTTTATCAATCTTTTCAAAGAACCAAATTTTTATATGTGTTAGTGTTATATTTTTAATAATTATATTAATATTGTTTTGAATGCAAATACCAGGCTTCTGGATAAGGGCAGGTTTATTATTATTATATACATAATAGTAGCTATGCTAATTTCCCTTTGCCTCAGTGCTTAACCCTAGCATAAAACTATGAGAGACAAATGTCATCATGTGCATATTGGAGTAGGTAAAAAATACCAAAAGTATAAATCTGGGCATTTATATAGAAGAGAGAGTTTCTTGTCATCCCCTAATGAAAGGAGGAGAAAAATACTTTTCTCCTTGAGAAGAATTCTTAGTTTTTACTCTCACACTTTGTAATGTAAATAAGTTTCTCCAGTAGAAAGATGAGACTAGTGTCTTTATAAAATGTCTCCATCTTTATAACCCAAGACATCTCTCTATAATCCAAAGTTTCATTCTCCTTTGAAATCTCAACATATATATTTTCAGAAGGAAACTCCTTGTAGGTGGTCTGTCACTATTATCTGTCATAATTTAACTTCTAGACTTGTTGATAAGTTCAGATTCCAAGTTTTAGTACGATTTACTAAAAAAAAACCTAGCATGCAGAAACAAAAATATTTTCTCTACAGCTTCACTTTGAGCTTTTGCTTTATTTTTCATGAATTTCTGCTATATATTATTTCTTTTATTCTTGTTTACTTGGTTTTATCTGTGTGGTTTTTAAGTTTTTAAGTTAGATACTTACCTTGTTTTTGGACTTTTATATGTATCTATGCATTGAAGCCATAAAATTCCTAAGTTAAGCTTATGCTATATTCCATGGCACTCTTCAATGTAAGTAAATTTTTTGCTGTCTTGTTAAATATTTCAACACTATTTTTATTAAAGTTATATTGCCATGTTCAGAAGAAAAAAAATCGAGAGTCAAACAAAGTTACTTTTCTTTTTATTGCAAGTGCTATTAATATACATAAGAAATTACAAGTTATTACAAGTGCTATTAATATACATAAGAAAAATATAACCACCTTCAGCCAGTTTCTGATATGAATTATACAAAGTGACATGATCAAGTGTTAACTACTAGTTTTAAATAGCTATGGCTATTTTGAAATACTTAACGCTTTTCACAATTGAAATACTTATTGATATTTTCGAAGAATCATAGGCAGTTGGAAAAAATAACACAGAGATGGTTTTATAAATCTTGCCCAGTTTCTTCCTGATAACATTGTGCAAAATTATAGTATAATATTGCAAACAGAATTTTGACATTGATAACATTCATTGATCTTATTCAGATTTTCCCAGATTTGCTTGTCCTCATTCGTGTATGTTTTCTTTTTCTTTTCTTTTTTGCTTCTTGAGACAAAGTCTTGCTCTATCACCCAGGCTGGAGTGCAGTGGTGTGTGATTTTGGCTGTCTGCAACCTCCGCCTCCCAGGTTCAAGGGATTCTCCTGCCTCAGCCTCCCAAGTACCTGGATTACAGGCATGTGCCAACAAGCTTGGCTAATTTTTATATTTTTAGTAGAGACGGTGTTTTGCCATGATGGCCAGGCTGGTCTTGAACTACTGGCCCGAAGCAATCCACCCGACTCAGCCTCCCAAAGTGTTGGGATTACAGATGTGAGCCACCACGGCTGGCCTTTGTATGTTTTTGTGCATGCTGATCTGTATACAATTTTGTCACATTTGTAAATTATGTGTTCACGCTACAGTCAAAATGATCAACTGCTCTAACATTACAAGAATCCCTTGCATTGCCCTTTTATAATGACAAACTCATGACTCCCACCCTCCTTTCTGTCTTAATCCTTAGCAACTACCATTCTGTCTCCCATTTTTAAAATGTTATAATTTCAAACATGTTATATAAGCCAGAAAAGTGGCATGAAGAACTCCAAGAATGTCCTTAGAGGAACAATCACAAATAACAAAAATTATTTCAAAATCATCATGTAAAGGGATTGCTGGGTTGAAAGGTAGTTCTGTTTTCAGAGTTTGAGGAATCTCCATGCTGCTTTCCACAATGGTTGAACTAATACCCAGAGGAATATATATATATATATATAATATATATATAAAATATATATTTTTATATATATATATTTATATATATAGATATATAGAATTATATATAGATATATAGAGAGATATAGAGAGAGAATTATATATATATATATATATATATGTAATTCTACAATAAAGACACATGCACGCAAATGTTCATTGCAGCACTATTCACAATACCAAAGACATGGAGTCAACTAAATGTCCATCAATCACAGATTGGATAAAGAATATGTGGTATATATACACTATGGAATAGTATGCAGTCATAAAAAAGAAGACCATGCCTTTTACCAGAACATGGATGGAGCTGGAGGCTATTATTCTTAACAAACTAACACAGAAACAGACAACCAAATACCACATGTTCTCACTTATAAATTGAAGCTAAATTATGAGAACTCACAAACACAAAAAAGGGAAAAACAGACACTGGGGTATACTTGAGGATGAGGGGTAGGAGAAGGGAGAAGCAGAGAAAGAAATAACTATTGGATGCTAGGCTTAATACCTGGATGATAAAATAATCTGTACAACAAATCCCTGTAACAAGAGTTTACCTATATAATAAACCATTACATAAACTCCAGAACCTCAAATGAAAGTTTTTAAAAAAAGGAAGAAATTGCACATTCCAGGGCCTCCACGCCTGTGTTAGAGTAGAACTGCCCCACTGCAGAGGTCCAAGGCCTTAGCCTTGCCTTCCTCCTCTCAGCACGGTCTTGCTCAAAAGAATGGCTGACTGAAACCTATATTCAATTTCTTTTATTCATGCATGCATATTACCTGACTTTTGTCTGCACATGTAGGGAACAGAATAGTTGAGAATCAAAACATAAAAATTAAATGAATAAAAATGAAAAGACTAGAGAAAATAAAAATAAGTAAAAACTATCATATAAGGTCTCTGGAAATTGTTCTAACTTTATGCAACAAGTGGAGAAATATTAGTCAAGAAAATATACTAACCTTTGGTAAGAGCAGCAAGAAGTTTGGGACATTTGACTCAGATTGGTATAGCCAAGAAATCAGGGCTTGCCCTGTGCCCTGCCCCAAGTCTAGGGTTATGATATAATATGTACCTCATAGAGGCAGGCTACAAGCATTTCTAATCTGCTCTATTTCATGTGGCAGAAGCTCTATTCTAGGCAAGAATATCTTGAAGGAATGAAGCTCTAGAAACAGCTAAAGAGAGTTCTTCTAAAACTGGTCTCATACCAAGGTAACTGTGCACATAACCAGAACTTCACTACCTGATAAGTGATATTAGACACTCAGGGGAAATAGATTTCGCTGAACTAGTCCACTAGTCAAAGAAATTTAATTGTTTAGATTACTAAACAGACAAATAAATAAACTTTTTGTTTTATTGATATTCTCTATTTTTTGCTATTATCTATTTTATTGATTTTTACTCTATATTACTTTATTCTTTTTGCTGTAATTTGGTTCATCTTACTCTTCATTTTCTAGTTCCTTATAGGGTAAAGTTAGGTAATTCATCTGGGATCTTTCTCTTTTTTAATGTATATGTTTACAGTTCTTAATTTTCTTTAAAGTATTGCCTATGGTGCATCACATAAGTTTTGGTGTGCCGTGTTTTATTTTCACTTATCTAAAAGTATTTTCTAATTTTATTTTTTAATTGTTTTTGATTCAATAATTATTCAAGAGTGGGTTGTTTTATTTTCATGTGTTTGTGAAATCTCTAATTATTGTTATGTTGTTCACTTCTAATTTCAATCGATTGTGATCAGATAAACTACTTTGTATGTTACAATCTTTTAAAATTTACTGAGCATTGTTTTGTGTCAGCAGATGGTATCTCCGTGACTAAGATTCATGTGCACTTGTGAAAATGTGTTTTCTGCTGATTTTGCATGAAGTATTCTCTGTAGGTCAGACAGGTCTTGGTTTATGGTTTTTCAAGTCCTCAGTTTCTTCGCTGATCTTCTATCTTACTGTATTTATTTCTGAAAGTAGACTATGGAAGCCTTTAACTAATATTGTATTTAAAGATATCATCTTTGATATTTTTTCCCAAAATTGACCACATCTTTTTTAAGATTCTGTTGTGTGTGTATATATGTTTTATAATTATTATAAATGTTTAATGAATTGATACTTTTATTATTATATTGCATCCTTCTTTGTCTCATGTAAAGATGTTAAAGTTGATTTTGCCTGGTATGAGTATAACTACCTTAGCTCTCATCTGATTAATATTTGCATGGAGTATATATTTCCATTCTTTCACTTTCAGCGCATTTGTGTTTTTGGATATAAAGTAATATATCTTGAATATATAGTTTTTATCTGGAAATCATACTTTAATAAAGCTGGGGAGACAATAAAGTAAATCTCTTGTAGTCAACATATAGTTGAATTATGTATATTTTATACATTTCTTTAATACCTACCATTTAATTGGAGAGTTTAACCTATTCAGTTTTAAATTAATTATTGTTAAAGAAAAACTTAATGCTACCATATTGTTGTTTATTTTCTGTAGGTTTTGTATCTCTTATGTTCTTTCATTTGTTTATTACTGTCTTCTTTTGTGTTTATTTTTATGTATACATTTTGATTCCCTTCTCATTTACGTTTTTGTGTGTTTATTTTATATTTACTTGCTTTTATTTGTATATACATATTCTCGTTTTTTCTTAATGGTTACCTGAGGGATTACAATGAACATCTTAAATTTATAGAAATCTAATTTAAATTAATTCCAACTTAGGTTCAATATTACACAAAAATGGTGCTCCCACACAACTCTCTGTCCATCCTAATTTATGTTGCCATTTTGTTTATTTATGATGTACTAATTAATATAGATTTATTATTATTATCTTATTTGACTTTTATATCATATAGGAAGAAAGTGCAGTTGCCAACCAAAAATACAATAATAATGACCTTTATATTTTCCTGTGTAGTTATCATTTCTAGTATTCTTCATTTCTTCATAGGACTTGAATTTGTTCTCTACTGACCTTTCATTTCATCTTTTACCTGTTCTTATGAGTCATGTTTGCTAGTAACAGTCTTTCAGCTTTTGTTCATTTTGGAATGTCCTAATTTCTCCTACATTCTTGAAGGTGATTTTTGGTAGATATAGAATTTTTGCTTTACATGGCTTTTTTCTTTCAACATTTTAAATATTTCATTCTACTACCCCTTGGATCATGGTTTCTAATGAGAAATTAGTAATTAATCTTTTTTTATTTATTCAATATTTTAATTTTTAATCTTATGGGTACATAGTTGGTATATATTTATTGGATACATGAAATATTTTGGTAAAGGTATACAATGTGTAGCAATAACATGTGGGTAAATGGTGTATCCATCACCTCAAGCATTTATCATTATTTTGTGTTACAAACATGGCAATTTTACTATTTTATTTAAAAATATACAATAAATTATTGTTGACTGTAGTAACCCTGTTGTGCTATCAAATACTAGATCTTATTCATTCTACCTAAACCATATTGTTGTATCCATTAATCATTGCCTGATACCCTACCTCCCCACTACCCTTCTGAAACTCTGGTCACCATCCTTCTAATCTCTATCTTAATTAGTTTTTTTTTCTTTTCATTTTTAGCTCCCACAAATGAGTGAGAACATGACAAATTTGTCATTCTGATACTCTGAACCAGACCTCCAGTTTCATTTATGTTGTTGTAAATGACAGGGTGTCTTTTGAAAAATCTACACAAACTATTTAGTTTTAACCTCAAGGAACTAAAAAACAAATGAACAAACAAACAAAAAAACTAAGCCAAAAGTTAACAAAAGGAACAATATAGTAGTACAGGTTACAGAAGAAATAATTGAAAGAGAGAATAGAATAACAATGGAAAAAGAAAATAATTCACAGATCCTTTGAAAGAAGCAGTGCACTGCTGCAAATTCTGTGAAACAGGTGAAAAACTTTGACTTCCCAAAGTGTGAGAGGGGGTAAACCTATCTCCAAAACACATCCCCACTGGGGAATTTAAAACTCTAGATCATGCGAGAAGGATTTACCCTTACCTAGAGCTGAAACAGGCTTAGGGAGTTGTGTGAAATATAAAAGTAGAAGTAGCAGTGGGAAGTGCCTTGCAGATACTCACAGTCTCCAGCTGGAGCCCAGGGAAGCCATCCTTGACTATACCTCACAGAGCCCCTCAGGAAACAGTCAGCAGAATTGGGGAGGTGTTTCATGGCAAAGGAAGCATCCAACTAAAATTGGTAGTGATTTTGACTGGGAACAATTTTTTTTCAGTGGAGTCTGGGGAACATTCAAGAGCCGCTGCAGATAAAAGTGCAGGAGTGCAGCAGCTGCCCAGACAAAGTGGGCAGATGAGGAGGAACAAGGTTTGAAAAAGAAAGCTATGCTTGCGTTCTCAGCAGGGAAGCCCACAGCTTGGGGCAAGGTCTGAATGGGGCACTTGGGGACTCAGACTGGCCTTGTGAACTGCATGGAAGCTAGGTGAGGCCTCTCTCTATAGCCTATCCACCACTTCCCTGGTGAACTATATGACACAGCAGAGATGACCAAGATCCCCTCTGGAACATAACCCCATTGGACTGAAAACCACTGCTAAATCACCCAAGTGGCTGTGGCAAGCCCTGCCTAAAGAGAGTTTGAGCCCAGATCTGCCTAACCTTGCCCCCACCTGATGGTATTTCTCTACCTGCCCTCATAGCCAAACACAAGAGACAGAAACTCTTGGGAGCTTTATAGTCCTGCCCACCTCCTTAGAAATCAAAATAATCACCCTAGCCAACTTAGGGCAAGCTTAGAATCCCCACTACTGCTGCAGCTGGTGCTTTCCAAAAAGCACCACCTCTTTGCTGAAGGACAAAGAACACAGGCCACTACAGCAACTCATTACAGAATAACCCTGACCCAGGAAGGAAAATACAATACCTAATTTGACTTCCTGCAACATCCTGGTTAAAGAGTTCCTGAGTGTGCTCATGTGACAACTTCACTGCTGGCATAACCAGCATTTGAGAAAGCCAGCACACTTAACATATCTACAATCAAAGACTCACACAGTCTACTTCATTGCCCTGCCACCTCTACCAGAGGAAGTGCTGGTATCCATGGTTGGGAGACCTGAAGATGGATCCCATCACAGGACTCTTTGCCGACATTCTCCAGCACTAGCCTGGCGCCTTGTAGCCCTGCTGGGTAGCTAGACCCAGAAGAGAAATAACAATCACTGCAATCTAGTTCTCTAGAAGTCCCATTCCATATTAAAAAATGCTCAACATCACTAATTATCAGGGTGATGCAAATTAAAACCACTATGAGATACCACCTTACTCCTGCAAGAATGGCCATAATAAAAAAAATCAAAAAATAATATATGTTGGCATGGATGTGTTGAAAACGGTATACTGTTACACTGATAGTGGGAATGTGAACTAGTACAACCACCATGGAACATAGTATGAAGATTCCTTAAAGAACTAAAAGTAGAACTGTCGTTTGATCTGGCAATCCCAATGCTGTGTATCTACCCAGAGGAAAAGAAGTCATTATATGAAAAAGACACTTGCACATGCATATTTATTGTGGCACAACTTAAAATTGCAAAAATATGGAACCAGTCTGAATGCTTATCAACCAAAGAGTAGATAAAGAAAATGTGGTATATATACACCATGGAATACTACTCAGCCATCAAAGGGAAAAAAAATAATGGCATTCACAGCAACCTAAGTGGAGTTGGAGACCATTATTCTAAATGAAGTAATTCAGAAATGGAAAACCAAATATTGTATGTTCTCACTTATAACTGGAAGCTAAGGTATGAGGATACAAAGGCATAAGAATGATATAATGGACTTTGGGGACTCAAGGGGAAGGGTAGGAGGCAGGTGAGGGATAAAAGACTACCCATTGGTATGTGGTCAAGTGATCTTCAACAAACGTGCCAAGAATACACAATGGGGGAGGGATAGACTCTTCAACAAATGGTGTTGTAAAAGCTAGTTATCCACAAGCAAAAAAAATTAAAAGTAGAATCTTATCTCACAAACAAAAATCAACTCAAAATGTATTAGTGATTTATACATAAGACCTGTAACTGTAAAACTCCTAGAAGTCAACCTATGAGGGAATCTTCATGACATTGGGCTTGGGAATGATTTCTTGAATATGACACCAAAAGCACAGGCAATAAAAACAAAGAAAAAAATGGTACTAAATGGAACTAAAGCTTCTGCACATCCAAGAAAATAACAGAATGCAAAGGCAACCTATGGAATGGGAGAAAATATCTTTAAACCATGTATCTGATAAGGGATTAATATTAATCCAAAATGTATGAGGAACTTCTATATCTGAACAGAAAAAACCCAAATAACCAGATTTTTAAAAAATGATCCAAGTCTTGAATAGGTATTTCTATAAAGAAGATACACAAATTGTCAACAGGTACATAAAAAGATGCTCAACAATACTAATCATCAAGGAAATGCAAATCAGATATTACCTCACATTTGTTAGAATGGCTATTATCAAAAACAAAACTAATGTTAAAGTGTTTGTGAAAATGTGAAAACATTGGAAACGCATACATTGTGGGTAAAAATCCAAAATGCTGGAGCCACTGTGGAAAACAGTATGGAGGTCTCTGAAAAAGTTATGAATAGAATTACCATACAATCCAGCAATTCCACTATTGGGCATATATTCAGAATAATTGATATCGGCATCTCGAAGAGATACCTATACTCCCATGTTTATTGCAGCATGGATTTAATAGGTGGGTCTTAGCCTATTTTGTGGGCTACTGTTCAAAGCACAGTTTAAGAGCCCTTGTGGTGGTGCCACTGGAATTCTCAATGGCTCCCTCTGGTGCTGCCTAATGGCGCTAAGGGAGCTTCTCCAAGCTACGCTTTTGAATGTCTCTTGGTGGGGGATGGTTTTGATATGGGATTTCCCTAATGCTTTCTCCAACTATCTCTGCGTATGGGAGGAGGGTCTCAGCATGCAGGGACAAAGAGGCTTTCTGCCTTGGGCCAGTTGCTGTACCTGTGTCACTAGCCCATCAACTATGATGTCTCTATGCCGGAGATGATAATCTTGAGCCTGTGGGTAAACATGCTTGCTATGACTGTATCCCATTTTCTAGTTCTTCTCACCCTCGTTTCTATGTAGGATGGAAATATAGCCTTGGGTTTTTGGGGAAGAAGAGGTTTCTCATTTTTCAGCGCTGTCTCTTTTTCTATCTAGTAACTCTAGATAGAAATCACTGCTTTAGTGATTCTGGGCATGTGGATTGGGAAAGTCTCAGGCCTGGAAGAGACAGGATGCTTTCCTGCCAAGAATCTCAATCAAATTGTCTGGCCCAAGATGCCAGGATCCCTTTATGTCATAGGGTCTTCTATTCATTCCCGAGGAGGAAAAAAATGACCAGGGTGCCTTTTGCTGTTAGATTTGGAGTCAGGAAATCCTGGGCCTGGAAGGCCTTCCATTGTTTGGTGGGATGACCAAGACATCCTGCTTCTTTGTTGTTCCTCCATTTCTGGAGTCCCTTACCAGTTTTCCTTCTTCTTACCACCTTTCAGAATTTTTTTTTTTTTGGTTGCATCTTGGATTATTTCCAGGGTATAAAGTTGTGTTTAGTAAATAAGAGAAGGGAGAAATAACTCTATGCCATCTTGTAAGATCTATGATTAGTTAGCTTTTTTAAAAAAAATGTTATAATGATGACTTTGTAAATATTTTTCTGCACCTCTAGCAAGTTTTGCTTTGTGTATTTAAAGATGGTTTCATTATGTGCATACAAGTTCAGAATTATGAAATTTTCTTGATGAATTGGTCATTTCGTTATTCTAAATTTATTAGGTTTTTTTTATTGCTGACATAAAACAAATCACCATAAACAACAACCATTCATTATTTCACATTTCTCTAAGTCAGAAGTTCAGGAGGCTCAGCTGAGATCAAGATGATGTAGGACTGTGTTCCTTAATGGTGATTCTCAGGAAAAGTCTACTTTCAAGCTTATTAAGGTTGTGGACTAAATTCTTATAGTTATATGACTGAGATCCCTTATTCCTTGCTGTCAGCCATGGAGGTTTTCTCAGCATCTAGAGGCCACCTATATTCTCTAAACCATGACCCTCTTCATCTTCAAATTACTGACAGCAGTTTGAGTCCTTCTCATGCTTCAAATTTTTTTGAACTCTCTTTATGCATCCTCTTTTGACACATCTCTATTTTGCTTACAACCTAAGAAGATGCTCCACTTTTAAAGACTAATGTGATTAGATTAAGAGGAACTAAATAATCCAGGATAACATTACTACATTAAACATATTTTTAATGTAATTTTGACCTTATAATTTAAAAAGTTCTTAGGTTCCAGTAATTTGGATGTGGAGATCTTTGGGGTCCATTATTCTGTATACTATATGAGATGACACTCTCTCTTATTAATAATGATTTTTCTTAGTAATTTTATTTTATATGATATCAATGTAGTCACCTTCACTTTCTTTTCATACTTTATATTGCATCAATAATTTTGCACATCTGCATTTTTGTATATAGCATATAGGTATATTTTTAATTTAAATTTGATTATTTCTGTCTTATAGGTGAAATATTTAGCTCATTCACTTTTATCAGAAATATGGCATTTTTAGATATTCGCACATATTAATTTTTGCTTTCTATTTTAAAATTTTCTATATCTCTTTCTTTATTCTTCTTTTACTCAAGTTATTTTGGGTTTTATTTATATTTTTTTTGGCTCTGTTGGCTTGGGAGCTATATACCTTACTTCTATTTTTTTAGTAGTTACCCCCTTCCAGGACCTTTCACCTCACAGATATAACAAGGTCTGAAGATAATGCCTTAATGTCTTTTCTATACAATAGAAAGACTTTTAACTCACTTAACCTAAATTCAGCCTCTCATCACTTACATTCTATTTTGTCTAATGTCTAAGATTTGTGCTTTATTAAAACCTTCCTTAGAATTTTTAAAATATACTTCTTTTTCATTGATTCATGTTAAACCATATTTTTATTATTTTACACTGATAATTTATTTGTTAAGATTCCCCTGTTAAGTCTATAAATTTCTTTGCTTAATATTTTTTTCCTTTGTCACAAATATTCATTTTGGGTTAATTTTTCCTCTTCTTGCAATATTAAAATAATTTTAGAGTATGTTAGTTGGTAATAAAATTGGCTGTTGTTTGAAAATTTATTTAGTTCTCATTATTGAGTAATAATTTTTGAGAACACAATTTTGTTTTTACATTTATTTTCTCTTACACTTTTTATATACTGTCTTCTGGTTGTCCTTATTATTATTGAGATGTTTGTTTTAAGTATAATTATAATTTTTAAGCCCATATTAATTTTTAACTACTTAAAAAAAACCTTTGCCTTAATGTTTTGCAATTATATTACAATGTCTCTAGATATATCATAATTTCCTTTACCATTTTAGTATTCATTTTATTTCCTGGTTCTTTATATTTAATCAGAGTTACAGAAGTCTTAGGAAATTTCTTGACAAATATTATAATTCATTAACTCTGTTTATTGCTTTCTTCTGTGACTTCAATTATACCAACAGTACTCCTTTTCATTTGTTCACATTTATTAAACCTTTATATTTTCCATCTACTTGCCTCTCAATATTCCATTCTGGGCAATTTCTTCAGGTCTATCATTTAGTTCTAAATTTTCTTTTCAACTATGACTAAACTGTAGCTTAATCCATCCTGTGAGTTGTTTTCGTTTTTTTTTTTTTTTATTTTTTGACTTTTTATATCATCTATTTTTTGCCCTAATGCTTAATTCAGAGCATAGCACATAGCTATTCCCAATATGTTCTCATTAAAGGTATTTATATTTGATTTTTAAAAGTAAGTAACAATAAAACTATGACAGAGGAGCAGCTTTTTCCTTTGAAAATTGTGGTTTAAATGCAGTAAGGGTTATTAACAATTCTACATGAATGACTTCCTATTTCACTGAAGTGTTTTATAAGGTTTTTAAAACAGTACTTCATAGCATCCCGCTCTTCAAAACATCTGTGGCTCTTTTTGGTTCCTATTAAGTGATAAATAAAAACATAATTTTGGTTCACGTAAGGACCTGAAACAAGAAAGTTGGTTAAGCTATTCATACTTGTTGCTTTGAAATTGGGCTCATAGAATTTAATTTTATTATGTCTATAATTTGCACTGGTATTTTGTCAATTACCTTTTTTCTTAACTTACAAGGTACTTTTTTTAAAAAAAGAAAACCATATACAAAGCTTAGATTATATAATATAATGAACTGGTCATTTTTCTTCTCATCTCTCTATTCAAATCATAGATTTCAAAGAGTTTAAATTATTAATTAATTTGTGTGTGTGTGTGTGTGTTATGTAGTGGAGAGGCAAACTTGATACATTTAATGCTTTAACATTATATACTGATGCATTCCTAATTCAAAGTTACATCATGATATGAAGAAACATACACGTGAAGCTATTAAGAAAACATTTTTGTTTGTAAGGATTTTGAAAGTTGGAGGATCAAATAATAAAACTCAGAATTTTTCCTGTCCAAAAAAAAAATGTAGAACATGAAACTCACCAAACGAGAGATATCTGAGAAATTGTAGTCAGTCCATGATTTTTCTCCCCTCTCTGAGAACTATCACCCTCTATTCAAACAAATCTATAAGCAGAGTCCTTGGTATCATGTTTGTACTGTGTGACATTTGCCTCTAGGCCAAGGCTGATTGTCCCATGTATTTTTTTTGATTTTGAGAATTTAATTTTACATTTTTACACATTCAAACTCGGTTACTTTTTAAATATTCCTTTTCATTGTGTCTTTTTGTTCATTCATTTTTTCTTAGTTGATGTATTTCATGAAGGTTTATTAATTTTTTAATTTGAGTATCCCTATTTCTATAATCTTTGGTGTCTATAAATCTCTTGCTTGTTGTTTCTCTTAACTCTAATTGATGGTGATTTGTTTTCTGGTTTTGTGTGTGTGTGTGTGTAATGTTTGATTAATATTACTTAATCATTGGGAAAGTCAGTGCTTTTCTCCAGAGAACTGGGGTTTAGTTTTTCTGGTCCAGAGCCTGGACTATTCTGGCAACCTTCCAAGTTGCCATTGTTAAATTGCAAATCTCAGAGAAGGAGAGAAAGAGGAAAAGTACTATTTCACAAAAGACTCTTATTAAATGTTTTTATCATGATTTTTTTCTCCTTTTAGGATTTTGCTTTTTGAGGTTTACCTATTATGATGATCTGATCAATAGTAAATATTCATTCAGTTGGTGTAGATAGCTTACATAAAATTCACCAAAGAGTATTCAGGGATTACGTGAAATTCTCAGCATAACTGGTTTATTGTTTCAGCTTATTCATGCTACTCTTGCACTTTCACAATACACATTAGAATATCAAATAACTTAATAGATATTCCATTAAAGAAACATATTTGTGTCTATATAACAGCATTTCCAAAATATATGTGAGTATGAAACAAACCTATTTCTAAGATAATATTTATTAATATTTCAAGTTTAATGGAATTTGCTTTAGGAAATGCCAGCTAAATATTATATTAGCTCTGATGGGTTATTACCCATAGTTGTACCATAACTATTAAGTGATATTTTAAAATTGAGGCAAATGTCTTTTTCTCACTCAAAATCTTATATATTATACAAAAACAAAACGTGGTTTTGTCAATACCTATTTATTCCAGGTATGAAGAATATCACACATTCTCTTCACCTAAACACACAGACAGACACACACACACACACACACAAACTTATCTAAAGAATCTTTGCTTACATAGTAGACATAATTAAGTAAATTTGAATGAGAGAACCAACTAATTGTGAGAATACCAATAGATATTCAGGCACTGTCTTGAGTGTCTCTGATGGATTGAGTTTCTCCAAACCTAGATTTGCTGACAGAAAAAAATGTTAAAGATCCTAAATGTAAGCTAATCCTGAAAAGGAAAATCTGGCCTGATTACCCAGGCCTATTGGCAGGATCTTTCTGTTTGTAGGGGAAGCTGGTTCCTGCACAGTGTGCGTTTGAGGCCACAAACTTCATGACAGCCAACCACCCTGTCCTGTGATCATAATTTGGGAAGCTTTGCAGATCGTGGTAGTATAAGTTATAAAGTCTGATAATGTTAACAATCAACTCCTTGACCCATTTTTACATCTTGGCTAGTGACTGTTTTTCCTTATCAATGTATAAGGCACAATAGACTATAAATAACATACTTTTCAAAACAACACCATTTTTTCAGTTACAGAAACAATGACAACTGGTCTTAAAATACTTAGACTCTCTTAATTTATTTCTTATGATTTGGGGAGGCAGGACTTGACAAAATTGAAATCTGTATGTGTTAGATAATTTGGGCAATTTTGAAGTAATAAAGTTTCAAAAACAAGTTATTTGGCTCTCTACTATTATGTGTGAATGGTGATTAATTAGAGGAAAAAAATTTAAAATTACTTCAAAAAGAAGAGTTTGTGAATATCCATTGATTTTCTCCCAGTTGGTCGATTCCCCCATGCAAATGGGGGAGGATGGCAGCATTTACACTCTATGCTAATGAAGTAAGTCACTTTTATTACAAAAGTGCTAAAAAGTTAATGTGATCTATACTTTGCAGGACTTTTATTTGGGCTTTAGAACTAAAAGTTTACTGCTACTACATAGTTCTTACTGTATGTTTTTCTTACTATTTTTTTATTATACTAACTGTAATAGACAGTGAATGGAAAACTTAATTTTGGGACTCTGTCATCTGCACACCTATGTTCCCAGAGTTTGAGGAATCAATGCAAGTGGTTTAGATGTGACAGTTTGGAAAAATATACTTCCCCAGTGCCTATAAAAGTAAGTACCTCCGAGTGAAGGGTTAGTATTAGGAGTGATCAGAGTCATATATGTTAATTAGCTTGTTAATTATTATCTACTGTCACGTAACTGATGAAAATTTCTATGTGTTTTCCATATATCACTTTATTAGCTTTTGAAATTTATTTTATCTCAATTTTGCCTGTATAAAATGTGGTGTATGATGTTCTGGGATACATGGGAATGGTGTGGAAATCAGAACAGGATGTGTTCCAGTCCAAACATATCTTTAGAGTTGACTGTGCCCACAAATGTGTTTCTGAGAGTGATGGTCTGACAAGTGATAGTCTGACAAGACATGACCGTTTTCCAAATTTTTACTTACAAATTAAAACCCGAAAGTAAATCTATAATGTATGTTTATGAAAAATATTTTGATATCATCTCAGCCATTTAATAAGTCCCTAAAGAGGCTCTCATTTATTCCTGAAGAAGAGTCCTTAATATATTGTGAATGCTCATTGATTCTGATAGCAAGTTGACTCCCCATTACTGCAACTGTTTTTATAATGTAGAAAGAGCGCTAAGTGTCAAGCACTTTACCTTTCCATAGCTAAGGAAATCCTTAAAAATATAATGGGGTTCCAAATCATAGAGTCATTTTAGTACTTTAATAAGACCACGATTTGTTTAATGTGAGCAGAAAAACATTGTAATCAGAATTATCCTTACCTGTAGGAGGTACAGACTCTGGTGAATTATGAGGGATGCTGGAATGCGTTTCTGACCCAATTGATCTTGCAATTAGTACTGACCATGAAGTTTATTTGGTGATTACTTCATTTACTTAAGGCAGTAATTATGGGAAGAAAGGATTGGGTAAATGTTGGTCAAAATATACAAAATTTCAGTTCGGGGAAGAAGTTCTAGAGATCTACTGTACAGTATGGTGACTATAGTTAATAACAGTGTATTAACTAGTTAATGTATAATTAATATATAATATATTTTAGGTATTCTCACCACAAAAACTGATAAGTATGTGTGGTAATGCATATGTTAATTATATTTACCTAAACCAACAATATATACATATTTTAAAGCATCATGTCATAAACCATAAATATATACAATTCTTTTTTGTCAATTAAAAATAATAATAAAAAACAAATGTTATCCAGAAGAGTTTTAATACTCAGAACTGTTTGATAATAACTTATTGTGTGTTAATTTATACATTGCCTTTATTTATCCCCATTCAGTTAGAGTCTGAGTTGTTACAGAGATAATGAGTCAAATGTCTGGTGCATGGAGCTGTAACAATGTGGAGGAGCATAGGATGAAACTTTGCCACAGGTGGGAAATACTAACATGCAGAAAAGGAGTCCTAAAAATGACTCAATATGTGCTAAATAAATGACTTTTAAATGTAGTAAGTGCCACTTCTGTACACAATTATTGGTAAAGAATAATTTTGGAGTCCATTTTTAGATACCTTGTCAGCTTTCAAAAATATCACCATTTGAACACAGCAAGTGGTTTCTGATTTTTATTTCTTTAATTTGCCAGATTGTTTGTATTCTTGTAATTATAACTAGCCTAAATGGATAGCTATTGAGAGTGTAGTGTCTGTGCTGAAGATGTTAATGCATTTATGTTTTCTTTATTGCTCTGGGAAATAGTGGTATTTCATGTTAACATTGTGAGTTCCTCTGTACCTCTTTAGCACACTATTTATTCCATAAATAACATGACAATAAAAATAAAGTCGAGTGACCACCCGCTTTAAATCTACATTCAAATCAAATTTCGTCACTAAATTATTGACATAAATAAATACACATAATTGGTTTTCAAAATGTGGCTACCTCCTCATTATTCAGGACTTGATTATACAGGTCATAAGTTACTGATATGGTTTGACTCTGTGTCCCCACCCAAATCTCATCTTGTAGTTCCCATAATTCCCACATGTTGTTGGAGGAACCCGGTGGAAGGTGACTGAATTATGGGGGCGGGTCTTTCCTGCACTGTTCTCGTGATAGTGAATGGGTCTCACGAGATTTGGTGGTGTTAAAAACGGGAGTTTCTCTGCACAAGCTCTCTCTTTGCCTGCCACCAACCACATAAGATATGACTTGCCTCCCCAGCCACATGGAACTGTGAGTACAATTAAACCTCTTTCTTTTGTAAGTTGCCCAATCTCGGTTATGTCTTTGTCAGCAGTGTGAAAACAGACTAACACAGTTACTTAAGCTTGTTTCCTGCTTGTCAGCATCACCACTAGAGTCAGGATTCAGGAAGAGAGAAGAGGAAAAAAGCATGACAACCATGTTTGCATCCAATAATCAGTTATTCTACTGATGTTATGGGGAGGAAATTGTAGTATCTTGCTAAGATAAAGATTGTGGGTTATTAGTAGATTTAATTAGTCCATACTAAAGGCTGTTGTAATTAGAACTGAGAACACAAAGTTGAAATCACGTACATTTATAAACATGTATTATATCTGTATATTAGTCTATGCTATATATAAATACGAAGAAATAACTCTTCACAATGGCTATAATAAAAAGTGTAGTTACTTCCTCTTTGTGATTTTTCTTTTTACACTTAAGTTACAAGGTCGTTTTATTAAAAATCCAAATGTGAAACTCCTGTCCTTCTATGGGTAATGAAAATAAAAGTTTCATGAAATAATATTTACCCTTAATATATGTGATATACTTTTATATTGCTATCCTAGTCTATGCATATTTGATGTTTTTTAATAGTGGTTGAGCCCTACTGAATTGATAAAATGACTTGTTAATAGATTTTTAAATCACAAGTTGAAAGAAACTGTTTAGTTAACTTGACAAGCTATCTTGATGTTGCATATCACTAGGTAACTGTAAACAGTGTAGATTGTATTTACTGCCCCTGGAAAAAAATGCCTGGATTTTATCATTACTTCCTAAAACCAGATTAACTAATTTTTATTTTAATCGTATGTTATTATTTAATAATTAAATACATTAGGTATCACATTATGTTATTACCCAAGCCACCAATTTGTAGAAAGGAATATTAAATTTGTTTTTTAAATTCAAAATCTCTTTTGTTAATTTTTTGCCATTTAAATCTTTCTATGAAGGTGAACTCTGGTGATATAATTTAAATTAAAGATAATATTAAGGCCTTTCTCAGGTTTTATAGAGCAGTTGAAGTTAGTTTCCAGGTATTTATGGAAAATGCTACTAATGAGGGAATTAAAAAACATCAAGGGTGGAGGGAGGGGCAGAAAGCAATCTAATCAAACTATTTTTATTCAAATTTTTTGCCTTATTCATTTTATTTATTTAGTTTTAATAGATGCTATATTGACTAGTTGGAGAGCGAAGAAAGGAGTAGAGTTTGAATGGAATTACAGTGCACACAAACACAAGAGACTGAAAAGAGCCTTATTCATTTATCATTAAAATGGCTTTGACTTTAAGGTAAATCATGACTGTAAAGCTCATAAGTTCAGAGATTGTGCCTGTTTAATTAACTTTGATAATTCTAATATAGCCTGGTACCATAGAAGTCCTCTATAAATATGCATTGCATGGATACCTGAATTGATGTATAATTTTTGTACTTTTGTGAGTATTGAATATTTTGCAGTGCTGTTTTCTGCACATACCATGCACCTAATAAATATTTTTGAATGATGAACTTTTGCCTGCTTTGCTAAACTTTCACAGTTTGATAATTTTCACTAGACCAAAAATACATTAGAAAACATAGAAACTCATTTCTGTGATGACAGTGCATACAAGAAATTCCAGGTTAGTCTGATTTAATGTATTTTTTCTCAGTTGTCAAATATGGTGCATGAAATTTTATTTCTGTACACATATAATAAATTGTGGTTGAGATTTTGGTCTCTCTCACATTTGTTTAAATAGAAAAAGAAAATATGCTCCTAATACAGTCATCATATGAATCCTAGGATGAATCCCCATTTTTTGGAGGCTTTTAAAGCTCTAAATCTACTTCTAAAAATTATGCTGTTATCCTCTATAAAAGAGACTATTGAGAAAATTATTCAAAAGCTGTTCTTAAAATTTAACATATTTCACCCTCACATCATATTTTATAGTTTTATTTTGTACCTCAGGCCCAGATTGTTGAAAACTGAATGAATTCAACCATTTCTTTATGTGTATAAAGCAGAAAGTAACCAACATAAAAAGATTACAATTGATCCTGAATATAAGTCAACCAAAAAAATTATCTTTCTTTTTGAACTGTATATATTGCATACATTCAAAACAATAAAGCTATTATTTGGTTAGTGTCAGAAACTTTCAAGAACTTCCAGATATTTTTAAAATTAACTTTAGTGAGATATAATTGCATACAATAAAAGGTATATACTTTAAGCATAGAGTTGCATGAGTTTTGACAAATGTGTACACCTATGTAATAATTACACTAATCAAGGTTAAGAACATTTTTATCACCCCAAAACATATTTCTTCTCTTGGAGTCAGTTCCTATACCTCTACTGCAAACAAGCACTGATGTGATTTCTAACTCTATGTATCAGTTTTTCTTTTTCTAAAACTTGATTTAAGTTGAATATCTATCAGTATTTTTTATTTACTTTTGTATTACTCTATTGCTTGAATATATTGTATATTTTCCATCTAATTCTCTTGTTGATGGATGTGTTGATTGTTAAAGTTATAGCCATTATTTTTTATAGCTATTATAATTTTTGCTCAAGTGACAAGTGGTTTTGTGGACACATTTTTGTTTCTCTTGATTTAAATCCCTAAAAGTTAAAGTCTAACAGTATAGGCTAGGTTAATATTAACTTTATAAGAAAATGACAAATCTCTTTTTCAAATTCATTATGCCGTTACCACCCATCCCCAGCTTTGTGGTATATATGTATTTCATTTGTATTTACCTTTATGAGACAATTGTAACTATGAAAAACATTGGCAAACTGATCGTGTAAAATATGACAGCTAGTATAGAATGCATTTATGGCCAAAAAAACCCTAGGGCAATATGAAATTTCCTAGTTAGTGAAAGTAGAACCTGAAGGGTGGGTGCTTAGGTTGACAGGAAAAGGGAAGTAGAGAGGAATAAAGAGGTCAGAATGAGATAGAGAATGAATTAGGAAACACGCACTACTTCACCACTGTGCCTGTGTTTTCTATTCCATAGAAATAAATCTATACTTATTTTTCTGAATAAAAATTCTATTGACCTCATTTAGATTATTTTACAACCAAGAGAAAATGAGAAACACAAGGCAGCAAAATGGTAGGTGCTCCTCTCACTACTAAGAAATAACAAATTTATGGCATAACTCTTGACACTGGGAGAAGATAGCAGCATATTGTAGAATCAAAGGAACAGACGTTGAATGAAGAGATATTGCAATTTTAGTCCCACTTCTGCTGTTTATTAGAGTGTGACTTTGTACACGATGCTCAATATTTCTGAGCATCTATGATTTCATAAGTTGTATGAGAAAATTATAATGATAACCTCTCTAGCAGATTAGTTTAGGAATTCAAAGAATATTTTTCTCATTTGCCTAGCTATTTTGATACATTATGAATATTAATCCTTCTTTCCGTGTTTATGGGGGTTATTGCATAATAAGAAATACAACTTCATACATGTATAATCAAACCACAAGTCAAAAGGGTTGAGGATAGCCTAGATATTGCCTATGACATTTATACTCCTTACAAGACCTCTAGTATATCTTCAATTTTGAACATTGAAAGAACTAGAAGATATATTGAATTTGTTCATTTTGGCTACTACTTTCTTATTAAGAATTGCCTATTTTCTCACACTTTGAAGATCCTTGAAAAATATGACTTTTATCACAGTAATTGCACTGAGTTAACCAAAAGTGGTAGTAAGCAATGAAGCCAGCTACTTCACTCATGAGTTGTTCTTCTAGAATATGAGGTTCGTCAATCATTTTACCCTGTTTTTATTTATTTCACATCACTTTGAAATTACTCACCTTTACATATTTGTTTATGTTCCATCTTTCCACTCAAATATAAACTCCATAATCAGTATCAGATCAGTGTCATATCTATTGTGTTCTCCTTTTCTACCCAGCATTAACATAATGTCTGATGCATATTCTCTGTTTAATATATTTTTCTAATAAGCAGTCTCTTACTTCTTTAAAGCTTTCTTTTTGCAAACTTTCTCCTCAAGGTACTCTGAAAAGGAAAACCAAGAAGGGCCACTTTAAAATACTTCAAATACTTAATAAACAAGTAAACATTTGTATGATTTCTCAATAAATGTTTTACAGTTAATACTGGATATTTCCTTTCCTTAGGGAGAAACAATAACAACAAAGTTGTAGACTAATATCCATTTTTCAGTGAGCCTTTGACAGAAAAAAAATGGTCTAAATTTTCAAACTGTTGGGAGAGAGTCAGGGAGTGGCAGTGTTGACAAAAATGTTAGGTAGGTACAAGAACTGTGAAACAATGCTCTTCTCCAGCTAATGAGTGTTTTATGGCAAAGCCTTCTGGACATAGAGTTTGAAAATCAGCTGTTATTCTATCAGTGGAGGTAAAGCTTCTATTTTCTGTGACCTTTGATCACTTACTTAATTTTCTCTAAGCTAAAATTATTTTTTTACAGACTTTCAAAAAGAATGAGAAAACAAAGGGCTTATTTTAGAAAACAGTCCTGAGAATAAATCCAAAGTGTTGCCAGTCATTTCGTACATTGATTTTTCTTATGGCAAACACTTCTTTTTTAGTATAGATTGTTATTTATTCTTTGAGATGTAAAATTCTATGGATCTTATCAAATGCATAATGTCAGATGTCAATCATTTAGGTATCACAAAGAATACTTCACATCCCCAACCCAGGCAATCACTGATCAGTTTACCATCTCTGTAGTTTCACCAGTTCCAGAATGTCATATAAATAGGGACATAAAGTGTGTAGCTTCTTCATACTGTCTTCCTTCACATAGCAATAGTTATGAAAGATCAATCCATGTGTTTGCATGTGTGGATACTTCAATACTTTCTTTATGAATGGTATTCCATTGAATGGATGCACCCTAATTTGATTATGGATGCAGCAATGGAAGGACATTTTAACTTTAAGGTTTTTTTAAAAACTTTTATTTTAGGCTCAGAGTACATATGCAGGTTTATTGTATAGGTAAACTGTGAGTCACAGGAGTTTGGTGTACAGATAATTTTATCACTAGGAAAATAAGCATGGTACCACCATCTTTGGGATTATGGCTGAACACCTTTAAGTAAGAATCCCACCCAGGTGGAACAATAGTTGTTGCCTTGGTAATCCTGCTCAGTATGAGAGGAACCACAGATTCAGACATTTGGTGTATGTGCTTGGCTGAGGAACCAATGGGGCCGAAATGATCTCAGCCTATTCTGGAACTTTAAATGGGGTGATTGACCCAGACTATCAAGATTAAATCAGTCTACTACTCCACAATGGAGGTAAGGAAGAATATGCGTGGAATACAGGAGATCTCATAGGCTGTCTCTTGGTATTACCATGCCTCCTGATTAAGTTCAATGGGAAACTACAACAGCCCAATCCAGGCAGGACTACAAATGGCCCAGACCCTTCAGGAATGAAGGTTTGGGTCACTGCAGCAGGTAAAACTCCATGACCTGCTGAGGTGCCTGCTAAAGGCAAAGGGAATACAGAATGGATAGTAGAAGGTAGTCATCAATACCTGCTACAACTACATGACCAGCTGCAGAAATGAGCACTGTAATTGTCATGAGTATTTCCTCCTTATGTTGTTAAGAACATGTTTGTGTTGTATTAAGAAAATATGTTCATTTTATTTCCTTTTATATCACGTGACATAAGATTTATTGACTTCATATCAGCATTTAAGTTTTGTTAATGTAATAGCATTTATGTTGGGGATTGGTTCACTTCTGGTTATACAAAGGAAAGCTGTATTGTGCTAGGTGTAATTATGACCTTATTATTGTCTTTATTTGGAGATTATATACTATTTCAATAATGTGTATGGTTTTAAGTTGACATGGGGCAGATTTGTGATGGTTAATATTGAGTGTCAACTTGACTGGATTGAAGAATGCAAAGTATTGTACCACATTTTCTTTTCCAACATACCATTGATTGGCATGTATGTTGATTCTATGTCTTTATTACTGAGAATAGTGCTACAATGAACATATGTGTGTGTGTGTGTATTTGTGGTAGAATGATTTATACTCCTTTAGGTATACAGCCAATAATGGAATTTCTGGGTCAAATGGTAATTTTGTTTTAAGTTCTTTGAGGAATTTCCACACTGCTTTTCACAACAGCTGAAATAATTTACTGTCCCACCAGCAGTATATAAGTGTTCCCTTTTCTCCACAACCTCACCGGCAACTGTTATTTTTTGACTTTTCTATAATAGCCATTCTGACTGTTGGGAAATTGTATCTCATTGTGGTTTTGATTTGTATTACTCTAAGGGATAGTGATGTTGAGGATTGTTTCATATGCTGTTGGCTGCATGCATGTCTTCTTTAGAACAGTGTCTGTTCATGTCTCTTGTTCACTTTTTAATGAGGTTTTTTTTTGTTTTTGCTTGTAAATTTGTTTAAGTTCCTTATAGATTCTGTATATTAGACTTTTGTCAGAGGCATAGTTTGCAGATTTTCAGCATTCTTAAAAAATTCAACCAAAAATTTTATATTCAGCCAATATGTTTCATAAGTGAAGGAGAAATAGAGTCCTTTTCAGACAAGTAAATGCTCAGGAAATTTATTACCTCCAGACCTGTCTTACAAGAGGTCCTGAAAAGAGTGCTAAACATGGAAAGGAAAGACCATTACTAGCCAAAAACACACTTAACTATACAGACCAGTAACACTATAAAGCAACCAAACAAGTCTGCCCAATAACCAGTTAACAACACAATGACAGAATCAAACTTGCATATATTAATACTAACATTGAATGTAAATTGGCTAAATGTTCTGATTAAAAGGTGCAGAATGGTAAGTTTAATAAAGAAGCAAGATCCAATGGTATGTTGTCTTCAAGAGATCCATTTCACATGCAGTGACATTTATAGGATCAAAATAAAGAGATGAAGAAAAATCTACCAAGTTAATGGAAAACAGCAAAAAAGAAGGAGTTGAAATCCTTATCAGTCAACACAGACTTTAAACCAACAATGATCAAAAAAGATAAAGAAGGGCATTACATAATGGTAAAGGGTTCAATGCAACAAAAAGATCTAACTATCCTAAATATGTATGCACCTAACACAGGAGCACATGGATTCATAAAGCAAGTTCTTTTAGACCTTTAAAGAGACTTAGATTCCAATGCAATAATATTGGGAAATGTCAACAACCCACTGACAGTATTAGACAGATCATGGAGGCAGAAAATCAAGAATATTCAGAACCTAAATTCAACCCTTGATCAAATGGACCTAATATACATCTACAGAACATTCTGTTGTGGCTTTTTTACTCCCATAATTCAGAAGGCAGGAGTGTTACAGCTCTTTTACTCCCACCATCCATAGCTCAGTGAGCAGGAATGTTACAGCTATTTCACTGCCACAATTTGGCAAGTTGTGGATTCTTGTCCCTCAACCAAGAGGAATAAAGTACACAGACACTGCAGAGGGGGTAAGGCAGAGTAGAATTTATTAAGTGAAAGAAAAGCTCTTGACAGTGAGAGGGGACCTAAAAGTGGGTAGCCATCTGTGAGGCTGAGTCCAGGGTTTTTATGGGCTTTCAATGGGAGAATGCATGCTGACTGGTTTAGGGGTGGACTTGGAAAAGGCACCGTTTGATTAGTTAAAAGGCATCATTCGGAAAGAACCAATTGAGGAAGAGTGGATAAGACAGAGATGGAAGTTCTCCCTCTGGAGTGTGGATTCTATCTGGAGCTGGTAGCTTGGTTTTCAGGCTTTAGTCTGTCCTTGGCTTGAAGGTCAAGTTTCACCAAGGACCCCTCCCTGTCTGCCCAGAAATTTGTCTCTTGCCACTGTCAATTCCACCCCAAAAGAACAAAATATACATACTTCTCATCAACACCTGGCACATACTCCAAAACTGACTACAAAAGTGGACATAAAATAATGCTCAGCAAATTCAAAAAGAATCATACCAACCACATTCTTGGACCACAGCACAATAAAAATAGAAATCAATACTAAGAACATCACTCAAAACCATACAATTACATGGAAATTAAACAATCTGCTCTTGAATTGCTTTTGAGTAAATACTGAAATTAGGCAGTAATCAAGAAATGCTTTCAAATTAATGAGAACAATGATACAATATGCCAGAATCTCTGGGACACAACTAAGGCAGTGTTAAGAGGGAAGTTCATTGCAAACTTTTACCAAACCTTCTTTGCCAAAATTGAGCTTCCTGTTTTGATTCTTCATCTATGTCAAAACTTACTAATTGTTAGCAGCTGGTTTATTCTTCTCTCAAATTATGTCTCATAATTGCTCTATGAGTCAATAAGTGATGCCAATGAGGATGTCAGTTATTTCAATAGATCCTTATACTCTACAGATGGTATTTACATAGCATAGATGAAGCCAACTAATGGGGGCTATGTTAAGAAGGTGGTGAGAAATCAATGGTGGCATAAATTAATAAAACTTCTTTGGTTTCAAGAGTAAGTAAGCTTCATTTGCCACAAAATTGACCATTTGCATAATTACATATGCTAGAATAATACTTTAATGATTTTTCACGTGAAGGAGTTTTTAGCTTTTCATCTGTTTTAACCAAGAGGATACTTTAATGATTTTTCCCATAAAGGAGTTTTTAGCTTTTCATCTGTTTTAACCATGAGGATAAAAGTACCAAATACTTTTTCAAAAACTCCCTCAATTTTCTGCAGTCTCTTAGAATGTTTCAGCCATTTTTATCTATCTTTTATTTTGGTGAAAAGGGTTCTACTGTTACAAAAATAACCTTGCATTTATGCTTAATTTTGTATTTTCTGAGACTTTGAATATTTACTTATCCTTGCTTCTTTTTTCATCTCCAAACTCTCTTCATTCCTTCCTCCTCTGTATCTGCTAATTAAATACATCACTGCATCACCTCCAAAAACAAACAAATACCCCTCTCATTATGTTTTTTAATCCTGAAATATAGTTTCTATATCTTCTTTCTTCTATCAACGGATATATCAAAAACCTAAGTTATACATGTTTATTTCAATATTAGAAGTAATATTCATCCATGGGATTCTGAATTCTTCTTTTATCACAGTTATTCAAATTGCTGCCTCAGAAGTAATGGAGAATATCCTAAATACAAATTCAAAAGCCTATTCTCAGTACTCAACAAAATTTAAAACTGGAGCATCTTATCCTGATGACCACCCACTTTTTGAAAATGTTTTCTTCCTTTTCTTTAGTGTCAGTGCACTGTTCTGCTTTTTGTTCTACTTCAATCTTATTCATGCATTGACTCATCTCATTGATGGATATATCAAAAACCTAAGTTATACATATTTATTTCAATATTAGAAGTAATATTCATCCATGGGATTCTGAATTCTTCTTGTATCACAGTTATTCAAATTGCTGCCTCAGAAGTAATGGAGAATACCCTAAATACAAATTCAAAAGCTTATTCTCAGTACTCAACAAAATTTAAAACTGGAACATCTTATCCTGATGATCCCCCACTTTTTGAAAATTTTTTCCTCCTTTTCTTTAGTGTCAGTGCACTGTTTTGCTTTTTGTTCTACCTCAATCTTATTCATGCATTTACTCATTTGTATTCATTCTTACCTTAAATAAAGATGTTTCTTGAAATTCAGCCCCTATGTCTTATTTTGGCTTTTACTACCAACCAGAGCAATTTAAACCACTATTGAAATTTCAGCTGTCACAATTCTTTGATGTGAAACCACATTTCTAATTCTGACCCCTTTGCTGAGATCCCATCATGCATTTTCAATTGCATGTGGATACTTTCATATTCTTGTCTAAATTCCAACATGCCCAAATCCAAATATATACTATTTCTCCCCCAGATTCACAATTTTTACATGTGTGTGTCTATAGAACTGAAATTCTTTGGAGAAGATGTGTTTGATGGTTTTCACACTGCTGATAAATACATACCCAAGACTGGGTAATTTATAAAGAAAAAGAGGTTTAATGGACTCAGAGTTCCATGTGGCTTGGGAGGCCTCACAATCATGGTAGAAGGTGAAAGGCACATCTTAAATGGTGGCAGACATGAGAGAATGAGAACCAAGTGAAAGGGGGAACCATTTATAAAAACATCAGCTCTCATGAGACTTATTCAATACCATGAGAACAGTATGGAGGAACCGCCCCTATGATTCAATTATTCCTACCAGGTTCCTTCCACAACACGTGCAAGTTATGGGAACTACAATTCAAGATGACATTTGGGTGGGGACACAGCCAAACCATATCATTCCACCTCTGGCCCCTTCAAAATTTTATGTCCTCACATTTCAAAATCAATTATGCCTTCCTAACAATCCCCCAAACTCTTAACTCATTTCAGTATTAACTCAAAAGTCCATAGTCCAAAGTCTTATCTGATATAAGGAAAGTCCCTTCCACCTATGAGCCTATAAAATCGAAAGCAAGTTAGTTACTTCCTAAATACAGTGGGGGTGCAGTCATTGGACAAATACACCCATTCCAAATGGGAGAAATTGGCCAAAATGAAGGGACTAAAAGCCCCATGGAAGTTTGAAATCCAATGGGTCATTCAAATTTTAAAGCTCCAAAATGATCCCTTTGACTCCATGTCTCACATCCAAGTCACACTGATGCAAGAGGTGGGTTCCTATGGTCTTAGGCAGCTCCACTCCTGTGGCTTTGTAGGGCACAGACCCCCTCCTGGCTTCTTTCAAAGGTTGGGGTTGAGTGTCTGTGGCTTTTTCAGGTGCACAGTGCAAGCTGTCAGTGGATCTACTATTCTGGGATTTGGGGATGGTGGCCCTCTTCTTATAGTTCCACGAGGCAGTGTCCCATTGGGGACTCTGTGTCAGGGCTTCAACTCCACATTTTCCTTACATACTGCCCTAGCAGAGGCTTTCCATGAGGGCCCTGCACCTGCAACAAACTTCTGTCTGGACATCTAGGCATTTTCATAAATTCTCTGAAATCTAGGTGGAGATTCCCAAACCTCAATTCTTGACTCCTGTGTACCCACAGGGTTAACACCATGTGGCAGCTACCAAGGGATACAGCTTTCACTCTCTGAAGTCATGGCCCAAGCTGTATCATAGCCCCTTTTAGCCATGGCTAGAGTGGCTGGTACTCAAGGCACCAAGTTCCTAGGCTGCACGAAGCAGGGGGACCTTGGATCTGGCCCACAAAGCCATTTTTCCCCTAAGCCTCTGGGCCTGTGACAGGTGGAGCTTCCACAATGTTCTCTGACATGCCCTGGAGATATTTTCCCAATTGTCTTGGTGATGAACATTTGGCTCATCATTACTTATACAAATTTCTGCAGCCAGCTTGAATTTCTACACAAAAAATTGTTTTTTCTTTTCTAGCACATCGTCTGGCTGCAAATTTTCCAAACTTTTACGCTTTGTTTCAATTTTGGAACTGAATACTTTTAACAGCACCCAAGTCACCTCTTGATTGCTTTGCTGGTTAGAAATTTCCTCTGCCTACCTTTACTACAATTCCCAAAAAGGTCCTGATCTCCATCTGAGACCACCTCAGTCTGGATTTTATTGTCCATATTATTATCAGTATTTTGGCCAAAGCCATTCAACAAGTCTCTAAGAAGTACCAAACTTATCCACTTTTTCCTGTCTTCCTATGAGCCCTCCAAACTGTTCCAACCTCTGCATGTTACCCAGTTTCAAAGTTGCTTCCACATTTTTGGGTATCTTCACAGCAGCACCTCACTCCTGGTACCAATTTACTGTATTAGTCTGCTATCATGCTGCTGATAAAGACATACCCAAGACTAGGTAAATTATAAAGAAAAACAGGCTCAGTGGACTCACAGTTCCACATGGCTGCGATGGCCTCACAATCATGGTGGAGGGCAAAAGGCTCATGTTACATGGTGGCAGGCAAGAGAGAATGAGGACCAAATAAAAAGGGTGAAATCCCTTATAAAAACATCAGCTCTCATGAGACTTATTCACTACCACAAGAATGGTATGGAGGAAACTGCCCCAATGATTCAATTATCTCCCACTGGTTCCTCCCCATAACACATGGAACTTATGGGAGCTACAATTCACGATGAGATTTGGGTGGGGACACAGCCAAACTATATCGGAAGGTTACAATAAGGTATTAAGGGTCTAATTGATATCACACTTATGGTATTTCAATTTTCCCTAGGGAAAAAAAAATTATGCAATAGGTAATATTATTCTCATTTTACAAATAAGGGATTTGAAGCTTAGAGAGATTTTGTAACTTGCTTTATTTCATATGACATTAGGCAGCAGATTCAGAGTTTGAAGTCAATTGTGCCCAACCCCAATCATGCTTAAAATCCTGGATTTTTTTTTTTGAGGTTTTCCTTTTTTAGATTCATCTCATAAATTCACATTCAACAAATCTTAGGAAATCTAGCTCAAAATAGCTTCTATATTTATGCCTCTGTCCCTATTTACATTGTGAGTTACTGCCAATTGCATATTCTAGGCCCTCATTTTTTTTTACCTTCATTACAACAATGCCCTGCCAACTCCTTTATCTTTTGTAGTCTCTTTACATTTCCAATCACACTTTTTATGATAACTAACATATTATAGAACACTCCACTATATATGTAAATGCACTGCTACAAGTTGCCAGAAAAGGAAAAGCAGAAGATAGCATCACATTTAGGGTTATTCATGAGCTTTTTATCCAGCTAACTGTCCAAATTATATATTTTTATTTGTGCTTTTTTTCAACCCATATCCAGCTACTTGCATGACTCCAAATGTGATTTTCCCCTTTTCAATAATATATATTTGCTCATATATTTTTCTATTTTTAATGCCATTCTCTGTGTTAAAAACTGATACAATTCTAAAAATAGAGTCACGTATATATTGCCAGTTAATTTTATACAAAGTTAAGAGCAATTTCATGAAGAATGGACAGTCTTTTAACTAAGTTATGCTTGAAAAATTGGACAATCATATTCAATAAAAATAAAACAATACAAAATGCAACCTATACAAAAGATGACTCATAATGTTTTATAAACCTATATACAACACTGCAAACTATACAACTTCAAGAATAAAATATAATAGAAAAACTTAGCCTCATTGGGTTACATATATATATATATACACACATATATATATACATATATATATACACATATATATATACATATATATATATAATATTTTACCAAAAGTACAGTCACAGAAGAATAACACTAGATAAATTGGACATTATGCAAATTAAGAACTTCTGCTCTTCAAAATATACTGTTAAGGTAATGAAAAGAAAAATCACACTTTTTCTGGGAGAAAATATTTTAAGACCATATATCTGATAAGAGACATATAACCAGAATGTATAAAGGACATTCAAATCTCAGTAATGTGTAAACAGCAATCCTTCAAAAAAGGACAAAATATATTTTATTAGTCTGTTCTCACACCACTAATAAAGGCATACCAGTGACAGGGTAATTTATAAAGGACAGAGTTTTAATAGACTCAGTTCCACATGGCTGGAGAGGCCCTATAATCATGGCAGAAGGCAAATAAGAAGCAAAGGCACATCATTCATGGTGGCAGACAAGAGAATGTGTGCAGGAGAACTGCCCTTTATCAAACCATCAGAGCTCATGAAAATTATTCACTATCATGAAAACAGCATGGGAAAATGATGATTGCCTCCCAACTGGTTCCTCCCACAACATGTGGGGATTATGGGAGCTACAATTCAAAATGAGATTTGGATAGGGACAAAGCAAAACCATATCATTCCACACTTGGCTTCCCCCAAATCACATGTTCTCACATTCCAAAACCAATCTTGCCTTCCCAACAGTCTCCCAAAGTCTTAACTCATTTCAACATTAACTCAAAAGTCCAAAGTCTCATCTGAGAAAAGTCAAGTCCCTTCCACTTATGAGCCTGTAAAATCAAAAGCAAGATAGTTACTTCCTGGATATAATGTGGATACAGGCATTTGGTAAATACACCCATTCCAAATGGAAGAAAGTGACCAAAACAAAGGGTCTACAGGCCCCATGCGAGTCCAAAATCCGATAGGGCAGACATTAAACTGTAAAGGTCCAAAATGATCCCTTTGACTCCATGTCTCACATCCAGAGCACACTGATGCAAGAGGTAGGCTCCCACAGCCTTGGGCAGTTACACCCCTGTAACTTTGCAGGCTACAGCCCTCCTCCCAGCTGCTTTCATGTGCTGGCATTGAGTTTCTGCAGCTTTTCCAGGCACATAGTGCAAACTATTGGTGGATCCATCATTCTGGGGTCTGGAGGACAGTAGCCCTCTTCTCATAGCTCCACTAGGCAGTGCCCCAGTGGGGACTCTGTGTGGGGCCTTCAACCCCACAGTTTTCATCTGCACTGCCCTAGCAGATGTTCTCCATGAGGGACCCGTTTCTGCACCAAACTTCTGCCTGGACATCCAGGTGTTTCCACACATCCTCTGAAATCTAGGTGGAGGTTCCCAAAGCTCAAATTTTTATTTTTATGCACCGGAACGCTCAACACCATGTGAAAACTGCCAAATCTTGGGGCTTGCATCCTCTGAAGCCACAGCCCAAGTGATACCTTGGACCCTTTTAGCCACCGTTGGAGCAACTGAGATGCAAGGCAACAGGCCCCTAGGATGCACACAGCAGGGTGGCCCTGGGCCTGGCCCTCAAAACAATTTTTCCCTCCTAGGCCTCCAGGCCTGTGATGGGAGGGATTGCCACGAAGGTCTCTGACATGACCTGCAGACATTTTCTCCATTGTCTTGGTGATCAACATTTTATGCTCCACTTTCTCTTCAATGCTTTGCTGCTTAGAAATTTCTTGCACCAGATCCCCTAAGTTATCTCTCTCAAGTTCAAAGGTCCACAGATCTGTATGGTGGGGGCCAAATACCACCAGTCTCTTTGCATAGCAAAAGTGATCTTTACTCCAGTTTCCAACAAGTTCCTCATCTCCATCTGAGACCACCTCAGCCTGGACCTTATTGTCCATATCACTATCAGCATTTTGGTCAAACCCATTCAACAAGTCTCTAGGAAGTTCAAACTTTCCCACATCTTCTTGTCTTCTGAACTCTCCAAGTTTCTAGAAGTTCCAAACTTTCCTAAATTTTCCTATCTTCTTCTGAGACCTCCAAACTGTTTCAACCTCTGCCTGTTGACCAGTTCCAAAGTTGCTTCCACATTTTAGGATATCTTTATAGCAGTATCCCACTCTCTGCTGTACCAATCTACTGTATTGGTCTGTTCTCATGCTGTTAATAAAGACATACCCAAGACTGGATAATTTATAAAGGAAAGAGGTTTAATGTACTCACAGTTTCACATGGCTAGGGAGGCCTCGCAATCATGGCAGAACACAAAAGGAGAAGCAAAGGCACATCTTATATGGTGGCAGGCAAGAGAGCATGTGCAGGGGAACTGCCCTTTATAAAACCACCAGATCTCATGAGACTTAGCCACTATCACAAGAACAGCACGGGAAAAATCCACCCCTGTGATTCAATTACCTTTCACTGGGTCCCTTCCATGACATGTGAGGATTATGGGGGCTACAAATCAGGATGAGATTTGGGTAGGGACACAGTGAAACTATATCACATATGAAAGGACGCTTGACTAAATTAAATATACACATGGCTAATGAGAATGTGAAAAGATTAACCCCATTATTCATTATGGAAGGGAATGGAGAAAAATATGAAATTTCTCCATGCACATATTATAATGGCAAAAACATTTTTTTAAATGACATACTAAGTGTTGATGAAGAGATAGAGCAACTGGAGCTCTCACATATTGTTGGTAGGAAAGCAAGATTATATAGCTACTTGAGAAAACTGTTAAGTACCTAGTTAGAATGTTAATTATACACTTAAAATGTTACCTGGTAATCTTACTGCTAGGTATTTTCCTGTGTGAAATAAGATCTTAAATACACACACACACACACACACACACACACACACACACACACACACACACTGTAAAAGAATTTTTACAACTGCTATATTTATAATTTCCAGAAAACAGAAAGAACAAATTTCCTTGTAATGGGTTAATAAAGAAGCAGGCTACAGTACAACTACCTATATAACATAATACTACTTGGCAATTACAAATGAATGAACTATGAATATACTCAAAAACATGGATGAATCTCAAATGTATTCTGTTAAGAAAAAATACATATAAGGGGTATATTACAAATAATTCCATTAATATGACATTCTTAAATAGACAAAATAATAGGGAGAAAAACCTGATGGGTGGTTGTCAGGGATTGGGAATAAGAATTGATGACAAACAGCATAATGAAATGTTTTACAGTAATGGAAAAAATCTATATCTTGATTTTCCTGATGGTTATATAATTGACTATATTTGTCAATCACAGAACTCTATACTGAAATTGTACTGCTTGTAAAATGCAATGCCTCTTCAACCCCACACCCTCCAAAAAATACAAAATGAAAGAAAACTCAAAACTCTACCTGAAAATCAGGCCAAGTTAAAGAAATAACATATCCTTCATACATCATTTTCCAATACCAGTAATTAAGTTTAAAAAAATTTTTTTTAAATGTATATGGGTAAATAGTATGAGTATATGTATATAGGGTTCATGAGATGTTTTGATACAGATATGCAATGTAAAATAAGCACATTATGGAGAATGGGGTAAATATCCCCTCAAGCATTTATGAGTTACATACAATCCAATTACATTCTTTAAGTTATTCTAAAATATACAATTAGTATTGACTATAGTCATGCAAATGTGCTATCAAACAGTGGGTCTTATTTATTCTACGTTTTTGTACTCATTAGCCATCCTTACCTCCCTCTCAAACCCCTGCTACTCTTGCCAGACTATGGTAACTATCCTTTTACTTTCTATAACAATGAGCTCAATTGTTTTGATATTTAGAACCCATAAATAAGTGAAAACATGCAATGTTTGCCTTTCTGTACCTGGCTTATTTCGATTAATGTAATGATCTCCATTTCCATTCATGTTGTTGCAAATGACTGGATTTTATCCTTTTTTATGGCTGAATAGTGCTCCATTATGTATATGTACCACATTTTCTTTACTCATTCATCTGTTGATGGACACTTAGGTTGCTTCCAAGTCTTAGCTATTGCAAACATTGCTGCAACAAATATAGGAGTGTGGATATCTCTGATATATTGATTTCCAATTTGGGGGCATATACTAAACAGTGCAACTACTGGATCATAAGGTAGCTCAATTTTTAGTTTTCTGAGAAACCTCCAAACTGTTCTCCATAATGGGTGTAATAATTTAAATTTCCACCAACATTGTAGATGCCGTTTTCTCCACATCATTGCCAGCATTTGTTATTAACTGTCTTTTGCATATCAGCCATTTTAAATGGGGTGAGATGATAACTCATTGTAGTTTTGATTAGCACTTATTGGATGTGCAGTAATGTTGAACACCTTTTCATATGCCTGTTTGCCATTTGTATGTCTTTCTCTGAGAAAAGACTATTAAAATCTTTTGCCTATTTTTAAATCAGTTTATCAGATTTTTTCCTATAGAGTTGTTTGAGTTCCTTATATATTCTGGTTATTAATCCCTTGTCAGATGGGTAGTTTGCAAATATTTTCTCCTATTCTGTGGATTGTCTCTTCACTTTGTTAATTGTTTTTTTTGCTGTGCAGAAGCTTTTCAATTTGATGTGATTCCATTTGTCCATGTTTGGTTTGCTTACCTGTGCTTGTAGAAATCTTTGCCCAGACCAATGTCCGGGAGACTTTCCGCAATATTTCCTTGCAGGAGTTTCATAGTTTGAGATCTTATATTAGAGTCTTTAATCTATTTTGATTTAATTTTTATATAGTGAAAAATAAGGGCCTAGTTTTATTCTTTTATCTATGAATATCCAGTTTTCCCAGCACCATTTATTGATGAGATTATCTTTTCCCCTATGTATATTCTTGGCATCTTTGTCAAAAATGAATTCACTGTGGGTGTATAAATTTGTTTCTGTGTTCTCTATTCTGTTCCATTGGTCTATGTGTCTGTTTTTATATCAGTACCAAGTTGTTTTGGTTACTATAGCTCTGTAGTACCATTTGAAGTCAGGTAATGTAATTCCTCCAGTTTTGTCCTTTTTGCTTAGGACAGCTTTGGCTATACTGGGTCTTTTGTGGTTCCACATAAATTTTAACATTTTTTCTAATTCTGTGAAGAATGTCATTGGTATTTTGATAGGCATTGCATTGAATCTGCAGATTGCTTTGGTAATATGTATATTTTAATAATATTGGTTTTTTAGTTCATTAGTATAGATGATTTTTTACTTTTTTGTTTCCTCTTCAATTTCTTTCATCATGGATTTATGGTTTTTGTTAAAAAGACCTTTCACTTATTTTGTTAATTTCTAGGTATTTAATTTTATGTGTGGCTATTGCAAATGAAATTACTTTTTTATTCTTTTTTCACATTGTTCACTGTTGGCATATAGAAATGGTACTGATTTTTGTGTGTTGATTATGTGCCCTGCAACTTGACTGAATTTGTTTATCAGTTCTAATAGTTTTCTTGTGGAGCTGTTCAGTTTTTTCAAATATAAGATCATATCATTAGCAGGCAGGGATAATGTGACTTATTCTTTTCCAGTTTGAATGCCCTTTATTTCTTTCTCTTTTCTGATTGCTCTAGGTAGGAACTTCAGCACTATGTTGAATAACAGTGTTGACAATGGGCATCTTTGTCATGTTCCACATCTTACAGGAAAGGATTTCACTTTTTCCTCATTCAGTATGATACTAGCTGTGGGTCTGTCATATATGGCATTTATTATGTTGAGATATGTCCCTTCTACACACGGTTTTTTAGGGTTTTTAATCATGAAGAGATATGAAATTTTATCAAATGTTTTTTAACATCAAATGAAATAATCATATGGATTTTGTCCTTCATTCTGTTTCTATGATGTATTACACTGATTGATTTGCCCCTGTTGGACCATCCTTGCATCCCAGGATTAAATCCCACTTGATCATAATGAATGATATTTCTAATGTATTGCTGAATTTGGTTTGCTAGTGTTTTGTTGAGGACATTTACATCAACATTCATCAGAGATATTGGCCTGTAGTTTATTTTTCTGATGTGTCTTTGTCTGGTTTTGGTATCAGAGAAATACTGGCCTCATAGAATATGTTTGGAAGTATTCCCTTCTTCTCTATTTTTCAGAACAGTTTGGACAGGATTGGTTTTAGTTCTTCTTTAAATGTTTGGTAAAATTCATCAGTGAAGCCATTATGTTCGAAGCTTTTTATTATGAGAAGACTTTTTATTATGGCTTTCATATCATTGCTTGTGATGTATTGGTCTATTCAGGTTTTGTATGTCTTCCTGGTTTAAGCTTGGTAGGTGGTATGCATCTAGGAATTTGTCCATTTCTTCTAGATTTTTCAATTGGAATATAGTTTCTCATAGTAGCTTCTAATAATCTTTGAATTTCTGCAGTGTCAGTTGTAATGTCTCCTTTTTAATTTCTGATTTTATTTATTTGGATCTCCTCTTTTTTTTCCTTAGTTAGTCTGGCTATAAGTTTGTCAGTTGTGTTTAACTTTTCAAAAAACCAACTTTTTGTTTCATTGATCTTTTCTATTTTTTATTTTAATTTCACTTATTTCTGCTCTGATCTCTATTATTTCTTTTCTCCTACTAATTTGGGATTTGGTTTGCTCTGGCTTTTCTATTTATTTAAGGTGTGTCATTAGAATATTTACTTGGAATTTTTCCTCCTTTTGATGTAGACACTTTACCTATAAACTCCCCTCTTTGGTATTGTTTTTACTGTATCCCTTATCCCATATGTTGTGTTTTCATTATTATTTGTTTCAAGAAACTTTTCAATTTCCTTCTTAATTTCTTCATTGAATTACTGGTCATTCAGGAGCATATTGCTTAATTTTCATTACTTGTATAATTTCAAAAATTCCTCTTGTTATTAATATCTAGTTTTATTGTGGTCAAAGAAGATACTTAATGTTACTTCAATATTTATGAATGTATTAAGACTTGTTTTGTGGCTTAAGATATGGTCTATCTTAGAATTATACATGTGCTGAGGAGAAGAATGTGTATTATTCAGCTGTTCAATAAAATGTTCTGTAAATATCTATTAGGTCCATTTGTTCTGCAGTGCAGATTTGTCACAAATTTCTTTGTTGATTTTCTGTCTAAAAGGTCTGCCAAATGCTGAAAGTGAGGTATTGAAGTCTCCAGCTGTTATTGTACTGAGGTCTATCTCTTTCTTTAGCTTTAATAATATTTTCTTTATATATCTTGGTGCTCCACTGTTGGGTCCATGTATATTTATAATTGTTATAGTCTCTTGCTGAATTGCCTTTATCATTACATAGTGATCTTCTTTGTATATTCTTAGAGTGTTTGTCTTAAAATCTTTTTTGTCTAATGTAAGTATAGCAACTCCTATTTTTTTTAGTTTCCTTTGGCATGGAATATTTTTTTCCATCCCTTTATTTTTAGTCTACTTTTGTCTTTCCATGTAAAGTGTGTTTCTTTTCGAACTGATCAATGGGTCTTTTTTTAAATTTATTCAGCCACTCTATGTCTTTTGATTGGAGAGTTTAGTCCATTTACATTTAATGTTATTATTAATAAGAAAGAACTTACTCCTGCCATTTTGTTATTTGTTTCTGGATGTTTTGTGGTCTTCTCTTCCTTTCTTCTTTTATTCATGTCTTCCTCTAGTAAAGATATTAATGATATTCTCTGGTGATATGATTGACTTTCTTGCTTTTTATTTTTTGTGTATCTATTGTAGGTTTTTTTGGTTGGAGGTTACAAGGAGGCTTGCCAACACTATCTTATAACCCATTATTTTAACCTGATAAAAGCTTAACATTATTTGCATAAACAAACAAACAGAAAGCTAATAAAACATTACCTTAACTTTGTTGCCCTGATTTTTATCTTTTTGATGTTTTTATTTATACCTTATTGTAATGACTATGTCTTGAAAAGGTGCTGTAGTTATTATTTTTGATTGGTTCATTGTTCAGTCTTTCTAGTTAGCCTAAGAGTAGTTTACACACCACAGTTACAGACTTGTAATATGCTATACTTGTTTGTGTACCTACTATTACCAGGAAGTTTTGTAGCTTCAGATGATTATTTATTGCTAATTAGTGATTTTTTTTCTTTCTGATCAAAGTACTCCCCTTAGCATTTCTTGTAGAATGTGTGTGGTGTTGACGAAATCTTTCAGATTTGTCTATCTGGGAAAATATTTATTTTTCATGTTTCAAGAATATTTTCACCAGATATACTATTCTAAGATAGAATATTATTTTTTCTTTAACACTTTAAATATGTTATGTCACTCTCTCCTGGCCTTTGAGGTTTCCAATAAAAAAGTCAGCTGTCCTGCTGCCAGATTTGTTGGAGCTCCATTATATGTCATTTGTTTCTTTTCTCTTGCTGCTTTTAGGATCCTTGACCTTCAGGAGTCTATTACATTTCTTGAGGTAGTATTGTTTGTGTTAAATCTGCTTGGTGTTTTATGACCTTCTTGTACTTGGATATTGATATCTTTCTCTAGTTTTGGGACATTCTCTGTTATTATCTCTTTGAATAAACTTTCTACCCTACCTTTTTCTCTATCTCCACTTTAAGGCCAATAACTCTTAGATTTGCCTGTTTGAGGCACTTTTCTAGATTCTGTAGCGGTGCTTCATTTTTTATTTTGTTTGTTTTGTTCTTGTTTTGTCTCATCTGACTGTGTGTTTTCAAATAGCTGTCTTCAAGCTTAATAATTCTGTCTTCTGCTTCTTCCATCCTTCTATTAAAGGACTCTGATGCATTCTTCAGTATGCCAATTACATTTTTTCAGCTACAGAATTTCTGCTTTTTTTAAAAAAATATTTGAATCTATTTGTTAAATGTATCTGATAGAAATCTGAATTCCTTCTCTGTGTTATGTTGAATCTCTTTGAGTTTCCTTAACACAGTTATTTTGAATTCTTTTCTGAAAAGTCACATATATCTATTTCTCCAGGATTGTTCCCCAGTGCCTTATTTAGTTCAATTGTTGCAGTCTTGTTTTCCTGGATGGTATTGATGCTAGTAGATGTTTCTTCGGTGTTTGGACATTGAGGAACTATTTCTTGTAGTCTTCACTGTCTGGGCTTACTTGTAGCCATCCTTCTTGGGAAGGCTTAAGTTATTTGAAAGAACTTGGATGTTTTTATCTAAGCTGTTTCTGCTTTGGGGGCATTCCAAGCTAAGTGATGCTGTGGTTCTTGCAGACCCATAGAGATGCTGCCTTGATCATCTTGGAACAGATCAGAAAGAATTCTCTGAATTATTAAGCAGAGACTCTTTTTCTTTTCCCTTACTTTCTCCCAAACATACAGAGTCTCTGCCTCTGTTGTGAGCCCCCAAAGCTGGGGGTGGAGTGACACAAGCACCCCTGTGCCCAACACCACAATGACTGTGCTGGGTCTTGCCCAAGGCCAGCTGTAACCACTCCCTGGCTACTGCCTATGTTTGCTGAAGGCCCTGGGACTCTATAATCAGCAGGTGGCAAATCCATCCAAGCCTGTGTCTTTCCCTTCAGAGGTCCCCAAGACCCAGGTGAGTTCAGAAGTGCCATTTCAAAGTCAGGGTCTAGAGTCAAAAACCTTAGTAGTGTACCTGGTATTCTATTGTATTGCAGCTGAGGTGGCATTCAAACCACAAGATGCAGTTCTTCCCACTCTTTCCTCCCCTTTCCAAAGGCAGAGGAGCCTCACCCTGTATCCACTGCCACCTCTGATAAAGAGGAGTACTGACAGAGTACCACTGATGTTTTCTTAAGGCCCAAGGCCTCTTAAGTCAATTTGTGGTGACTGCCCGGCCTGGAGCTCACCCTTTAGGGAAGTGGGATGCCCTCTGTCCCGGGGAAAATCCAGAAATGCCATCTAAGAGTAAAGCTATAGAATCAGAGACCCCAAGAGACTATTCAGTACTTCCTGTGGCATTGTTGGTTCCTAAGATGCAAGACAAAATTCCCTTTACTATTTTGTCTGCTTTCCTCAAGCAAAAGTTTTGCCCCATAGCCACCATAGCTGGTAATGTGCTGAGTCTCACCTGATGCCAGCAAATCTCAGAGGCTCACCAAGATGTTTGATATAGTACCTGGATATAGCTACTGGTTATTCAGGGCCCAAGGGCTCTTCAGTTATCCAGTGATAAATGCTGGCAGGACTGTGTTCTTTTTTCAAAGCAGTGGGTTCCCTTCTGCCCTGGGGTGTGTCTAGAAATGATACCTCTGAGCTAGGGCCTGGAATAGGGCCTCTTGATTCTTACTGGTGCCCTATCCTGCTGTGGCTGAGCTGGTGTCCAAGATGCAAGACAAAGTCCTCCCCACTCTTCTCTCTGCTCTCCACATGCAGAAGGGAGGGATATCTTTTATAACCATGAGCTGTGTAGCCTGAGATTAGGGGAGGGGTGATGTCAGTCCTTCCTTGGCTGCCCCAGCTGGTGTCTCAGTATGTCACAATATTCCCCAGTCCACTGTCTCTGGGCCTAATTCAGCCCTAGGACTCATCTAAGAGTTGCAGTCCTTATGGCCTAGACTGTCTTTCAAATTTTCTTAGACACTGATAACACTTTGGCCCTTGGTGGTGAGGTTTGCAGGGTCTCATGTTCAGACCACTAGGATTGGCAATTCTCCTCTTGCTAGGGCTGGTTTAAATGTCCCCTCTGTGGGTGGGCATTACTCTGAGGTTTTTTTTTTTGTTTCGTGGTTTTTATTTTTATTTATTTATTTAATTAATTAATTTATTTTTTTGCTGCAACAGGACAACATTCAGTTTAATTCCTCACATTTGCTGTGTAATCCCTCCCCCAGCACCAAGAGATGCTCTCTACACCAAGCTACAGCTGCTTGGTGTAAGAGTGCGATGACATTGGTGATTCAGGACTGTTTTTCTCTCCGTTCAGTGCCTCATTCAGTGATATGAACTTAAAACCAAGTACTGTGAGTGCTTACCTGATTTTTGGTTCTTATTAAGGTGTTTTTTCTGCGTAAATAGTTGTTAACTTGGTGTCCCTGCAAGGGGGACAATTGCTGGAGGTTTCTATTTTGCCATCTTGATCTCAATCTCCTTAATTAATTTTAATTTAATTCCCCCTTCTGGCTTCTTAGCAATTTTTCTATACTTTTAGTGCCCCAAGGTGTTCTTTTTTTTTTTTGTACAAGAAATATGTCACACCTTTGTCATCAATTTATCCATCTTTTCCTCATCAAAATAAACATTTGTTTAGTGCCCACTCTGCCTCATACTGTATGATAACTTCTTGACATACAGTGATACGCAAGAGCAACAGGTCCATTTTATTTTATAGAGCTTATATTCCAATAAAATAAACAAAAAATAAATGAGCAACAAATGAATAAATAGGATAAATGCTTTCCAGGTCTTTATCCCATGGTCTTGGCTATTAGTTTTTTGCTCCCTTATAGTTATGAAAATTTCTCTAGCAAGTGCTTTCTCTGCAGCCTGCATGAATGCTTCTCTCCCCAAAAAAAGCTTTTCCTTTCTTTGTTACATGGCCTGGTGGTAAATTTTCCAAATGTTTTTGTTGCAAATATACATTTGTAAACATAAATTTCAAATTTAAGCCATTTTTTTAATGCATTTGAGCATAGGCTCTTAGAAGCAGCTAGGCCACATCTTGAATGCTTTGCTGCTTAGAAATTTCTTCTGCCTCATACCCTTGGTAATCACTCTCAAGTTCAAACTTCCACTGATCCCTGGGTCATTAACAGAATGTCACCAAGCTCTTTGCTAAGGCAGACCTTTGCTCTAGTTTCCTATAAGTTCCTCATTTCCATCTGAGACCCTGCCAGCCGAGAATTCACTGTCCATATCAACAGTTTGTTTCCAATCATGTAACCAGTCCTTAAGAAGTTCCAAACTTTATCTCATTTTCTTTTTTTCTCCCGAGGCCTCATAACTCTTCCAACTTCTGCCTGTTATCCAGTTCTAAAGCTCCTTCCACATTTTCAGGTATCTTTTGGTACCAGTTTTCTTTAGTAGGCCATGTTTACATTGCCATAAAGGAATACTTGAGACTGGGTAATTTAAAAGAAAAGAGATGTAATTGGCTCACATTTTTTGCAGGCTGTACAGAAAGCATAGTGGAAGCATCTTCTCAGCTTCTGGGAAGGCCTAGAGAGCTTTTACTCATAGTGGAAGGTAAAGCAGGGCAGGCATGTCATATGGTGAAAACAGGATCAAGAGGGAGTTGGAGAGGAGGTGCCATATACTGTCAACCAACCAGATCTCAAGAGAACTTGCTATTGTGAGGACAGCACCAAGCCAGGGTGGATCCCCCCTCATGACCCAAACACCTCTTGCCAGGCCGCACCTTTACACTGAGTATTATCATTTAACGTGATTAGGCAGGCACATATATTCAAACTACATTATCTACCTAGTATTTCTAAGACCCCAAATTAGAATAAGAAGTTTTTAGTTTTAATTCATCTCACAGAGCACTTTGTCTCTGTTAATTCTACAGATCTAAGGAAAGACATAGAATTTCATATTTCAAATAATAGGTATCTTTCAGTCAGAATGGTTTTTCTTAAAGGAGTAAACATTCCTGCCCTTTGAAAAACAGCAAGACTCCCTTTATCTTCCTGTGACATTGCTTTCGATGGCTTGAAAATCTCTGTGGCATAAAAGTGGAAATGTGTTGTAGATAATGATCCATGAAAAGTGGATTCACTTATTCTTAGTATGCTGCCATATTTTAAAATGTCACATATTTCAAAGTAGTTATTAAAATTTGTCATTATCTTTGTAAAAATATACTTAGCCCACTAACACTTGTTTCTCTCTATTACTTCAGGAACAACTTGTGCATTCATAGAAATATAAAATAGTAATCTTACATAATGAGATTTATCTCATTCTGACTTGGCCATTGGGAGCTTTGTGCTATTTCCAGTTTTCCTTTCTTATGTAATGAGTCGTCAACATTCCTGGAATACTTTAATTGTTATTGTTCTGGGTAGGAGGAGAAAATGTTCTAGGAGTGTTTTCATGATTAAAAGAAGTATTTTACATTCATTGAAATTATTTAACACTTTAATTTTATGAATTTTTTATATATTTCTTTGCAGGACTTGATATATCAGCAATGTGAATGATCATATAAAATTAAGAGGGTTTGGAAGGCCCAACTGTTTAAAATTGTTTATGCATCTCTCCATCACCACCACCACACACAGAAATAACTTCATTAGGTAGTGAAGGCCTTTTGCCTTTTCTCATTTCTAATATATATGTAAATATCATTCAGAAGAATCTCAAATACTGCCTATTATTATCTAATAACCTAGCAAGTCTCCTGCTCAATCATGAAGTAATCACTTGAGGAAGTGTTGTGTAACCAATATGATAAATAATATGATGCATATATAATAGGAACTAATATCTGAGGACTAAATTGACTAAAATGACTTCAATTTTGAACAGAAATCCAACAGAATACTTTGGCTTGCAATAGACCCATAAAAGGATTTATGATTCTGTACTCGTGATAATTTTAAATTTGGTTTAAATGTTACATATTTTTTACTAATACAAATAACACAAATTTACAGCACACAATTTGTTAAATATGGCACTATGCAGAAATATCTATATTTTGCTTTATTTCTACTCTAGTCTGAATATGTCCTCCATAATTCATATGTTGAAACTTAATCAACAATGTGGTAGTATTAATAGGTGGGTGCTTAAGTTACAAGGTGATTAAGTCACGTGGGTGGAGCCTTCATGCATGGGATTGGGGCCCTTATAAAAGGTTTTCAGAGAGTAGATTCTTTTTCCTTTCACTCTTCCACCTTCTTCCCTTTGGGGACACAGCAAGAAGGTTCTCACAAGACGTCAAATAACAGCTCCTTAATACTGGACTTCCCAGTCTCCAGAACTGAAAGAAATGAAGTTCTGTTATTTATAAATTCCTGAGTCTCAGGTATTTTGTTATAGAACGCAAATGTACTAAGATAGTTCCCTTTTACATGTAACATACATCTGTATCTATACCCATACAGGTATCCATCACAATCTCAATTCACATTATGTGAATTTAAGAACTGAAAAGTTTTGTAGCATTCCTATATCCATGTTTATCTTTGAAAATCAACATCAGTTTACTAATTGAGGTCTGAAAGACATATACTTTCTGTTTATTTTATTTAAATGAACTTAATTATACACTAAATTTCCTATTTTTGTAGACCAATAGAAAATTAAACCTCAGGGCTGGGCATGATGGCTCACACCTGTTATCCCAGCACTCTGGGAGGCCAAGGTGAGAAGATCTTTTGAGGTCAGGAGTTTGAGACTAGACTGAAAAATATAACAAAACCCTGTCTCTAAAAATAAAAATGTCAAAAGTTAGCCAGGTGTGGTGGCACAAACCCGTAGTCCGAATTATTCAGGTGCCTGAGGCAGGAGAATTGCTTTGGTTTAGAAGTTTGAGGTTGCAGTGAGCTATGATTGGGCCACTTCAATCCAGCCTGGACGACAGAGCAAGACCATGACTTTAAAAAACAAGAGAGGGAAAAATAAAAATAAAAATATATCTCATTCTTTCCTGAGGATCTCTTACCAAGGTTGTATGTCTCTGCAAAATCCACACAGAGTTTTATGTTTTTGTAGTCATATCAATCTTCTATTTTATTAGTTTTATTTTTAGTGTTTTGCATAAAAATAACCACTCCCAAAAAGATAATATGCATTTGTATTTGATGCAGGTCATATATAAAACATATCATTATGTTAAATAATTATACTTCATTCTAAAATAGTTCTGGACACTCTGTTTTGTTTAATCTTTCTATATATCCTTGATCATCTTGTTTAATGGTACATTTTCAGAACTCTTGACACAACCATCATTAAATAGGTTTCTATATAAACATTTTCTTTGTTGTTATTCTATTTACGGTTTCCAGAAAACTTGGGAATTATATTTGCAAGTTTTTAAATAAAATTACTCAATTTGAAGTACATTATAATAATTGTATTTAAGCAAGAATTGACATCATAATATGCAGTTTTCACTCAGGAACTTAGAAGGACTCTCAATTTTATTTTTATAGTACTTACATATTTATAGTTAATTATATTATAAAATGTTCACATTTGCAATAAAATGTCAATGATATTTTTATAATTACACTTTCTAAAGAATTTATTTTATATACAGAATTGTATTTTTTGTATTTATGCATAACTTTCTAATTAGACTCATACTTCAAATAGATTTTGTCATCTCTCATATTATAAATGTAACAATTAATCATCTCATGTTATTTTTGTCCACTTGGTTGATGTTGTTTGTGGGTTTCTGCTAGTGGTGTGGGGGATATTTCCCATAATCCAGAATGATATTTCTTTGGCCCAGCTTCAAACATGCAGGAAAATGAACGACAAAATAGAAAGAATCAGGTTCTCTAAATTAATGCATAAACAAAGTGCATAATCAATATGAACATTACACTTCCACATGTTTGGATGACACTGTAACATTTTCAAGTGGTTGTATTAGGGCACAAATTTTTATCCCTATAAAAATATAATTATCTCGAGCCACTTGATTATCCCCAGTGACATAAATTACATTCTATGAGCAATTATATTTTTAATAAATATTAAAATTAATTATCAATACAGTGATCTGCTTCCAGCAGGTATGCTAATTCCTAGAATATTCAAGTATGCCAATTTTCCTGAATCTACTTTAGCAAAGTAAATTTTCTGAGAAAATTGTACACAGATTTCCCAGTTTACATAACTATTTTATAATACTATTATTGTTAATAATCCTCTTGTTTACCTATAGTTTACTGTTTTCATCCCTGATATTGTAAATTGTTTCTTCATATAAAATTGACAAGATATTTAGCTGTTGTATTAGTCCATTCTCACGCTGCTATAAAGAACTGCCTGAGACTGGGTAATTTATAAAGAAAAGGTGTTTAATTGATTCACAGTTCCAGAAGGCTGGGGAAGCCTCAGGTAACTTACAATCATGTTAGAAGGGGAAGCAAACACATCCTTCTTCACGTGGCAACAGGAAAAAGAAGTGCTGAGCAAAAGAAGAAAAACCCTTCATAAAACCATTGCATCTTGTGAGAAGTCACTCAGTATCACAAGAACAGCATGGAGGTAAGTGCCCCCATGATTCAATTATCTGCCACTGACATGTGAAGATTACGAGAACTACAATTCAAGATGAGATTTGAGTGGGGACACCATCAAACCATATCATTCTGTCCTTGGCTCCTTCCAAGTCTTATGTCTTCACATTTCAAAACACAATCATGCCTTTCCAATAGTCCACTAACCCGAATGTCCAAGTCCAAAGTCTCATGTGAGACAAAACAATTTACTTCTGCCTTTGAGCCTGTAAAATCAAAAGCATGTTAGTTACTTCCTAGATAAAATAGGAATACAGGAATTGGGTAAATATACCCATTACAAATGGGAGAAAGTGGCCAAAGTGAAGGGTCCACAGGCCCCAATGCAAGTCCAAAATCCAGTGGGACAGGCAAATCTTAAAACTCCAAAATGATCTTCTTTGACTCAATGTCTCACATCCAGGTCACACTAAGGCAAGAGGTTGGCTCCCACAGCCTTGGGCAGCTCTGCCCCTGTGGCTTTGCAGGGCACATCTCCCCTCCCAGCTGCTTTCACAAGCTGGCATTGAGTGTCTTTGGCTTTTCCAGGCACACAGTGCAAGCTGTCGGTGGATCTACCATTCTGCAATCTAGAGGATGATGGCCATCTTCTCCAGTAGGTAGTGTCCCAGTGAGGACTCTATGTCGGGGCTCCAACCCCTACATTTTTCTTCCACACTGCCCTAGCAGAGGTTCTCCATGAGGGCTCTGCTCCTCAAGTAAACTTCTGCCTAGATATCCAGGCATTTCCATACATCCTCTGAAATCTAGGTGGGGGTTCCCAAACCTTAATTCTTGTCTTCTGTGCACTCACAGGCCCAACACCAAGTGTAAGCCACCAAGGCTTGAGGCTTGCACCCTCTGAAGCAACACCCTGAGCTGTACCTTGGCCCCTTGTAGCCACGGCTGAGATGCAGGGCACCAAGTCCCAAAGCTTCACAAAGCAGCAAGGCCCTGGACCCAGCCCATGAAACCACTCTTTCCTTCTAGGCCTCCAGGCCTGTGATTGGAGGGGCTGCCATGAAGGTCTCTTACGTGCCTCAGAAACATTTTCCCCATTGTCTTGGCAATTAGCATTTGGCTCCTCATTACATAAGCAAATTTTTGCAGCCAGATTGAATTTCTCCTCAGAAATAGGGTTTTCTTTTCTATTGCATTGTCAGGCTGCAAATTGTCCGAACTTTATGCTCTACTTTCTCTTGAATGCTTTGCTGCTTATAAATTTCTTCCACAAGATACCCTAAGCCATCTTTCTCAAAGTCAAAATTCCATAGAACTGTAAGGCAGGGGCCAAATGCCACCAGTCTCTTTACATAGCAGGAATGACCTTTACTCCAGTTCCCAACAAGTTTCTCATCTCCATCTGAGACCACCTCAGCCTGGACTTTATTGTCCATATCAGTATAATCATTTGGTCAAAGCCACTCAACAAGTCTACAGGAATTTCCAAACTTTCCCACATCTTTCTGTCTTCTAAGTCCTCCAAGTGTCTAGGAACTTCCAAACTTTCCCACATTTTTCTGTCTTCTTCTAAGGTAACAAAACTATTCCAACCTCTGCCTGTTACCCAGTTTCGAAATCTCTTCCAAATTTTCAGGTATTTTTATAGCAGCACTCCACTCTCTGTGGTACCAATTTACTGTATTAGGCTGTTCTCCCACTGCCATAAAAAAATGTCTGAGACTGGGTAATTTATAAAGGAAAGAGGTTTAATTGACTCACAGTTTCAGGGCTGGAGAGGCCTCAGGAAACTTACAATCATGGCAGAAGGGGAAGCAAATGCATCCTTCTTCACATGGAGGCAGGAAGGAGAAATACTGAGCAAAAGTGGAAAAGCCCCTTATAAAACCATCAGATCTCATGTGAACTCACTCACTATCACAAGAACAGTGTGAAGGTAACCACCCTCATGATTCAATTACCTTCCCCTAGGTCACTCCTATGCCAGTTGGGGATTATGGGAACTACAATTCAAGATGAGATTTGGGTGGGGACACAGCCAAACCATATCAGCTGTGTATTTGATTTTTTTCATAATATACTTTGGATTATTATAATCTGCATTTTGGCTTCTACTGTTATCTATTTTCTTATTTTGTTAGATATACTAATCATTTCTTACATTACCTTTTACTGTATTTTACTGTTATAATCTGAGCTCTTGAATTTAATATTTTATTTAGTTTCATACTTTGTTGACATAATGAAAAGATGTAAATCTGTGAATTTCCTTATGGGCAAAATTTTGATTTTGTCTTATATATTTTGATATTCACTGTTATGACTATTTTTTAAAGTAATACATTTAAGCAAGTAATTTTGGAGATTGTTTTCACATTTGTTGCTTATTTATTTAGTTTTGTTATTAGTTTCAAGATGTATTGTATTGTGTTCATTAAGTGTCCTTCATAACCTTTCTGTATTATTGTATTTTACTATAAGCTTGGTAAAAAGTAACTATTAGTATATACCCTTTAAGTATATATATAAAATTTATGGTTTGTGGGTAGGCTGTTTGACTTTAATCTATATCATATACTATTCTAAGATCACCTCTGAAATATTATTTTTATAATTTTTCTGTAAAAAAAGTAATCTGAAATTTACATTTTTATATAATTATAATTAGGCATTCAAATTTATAATTGTAACATAGATTATATCTAGGTTTGCTATCAACATTTTTGAAATAAATCATCCTTCATCTAATAAATTTAAATTCTAATATTTTAATAATTTATTATATATTGTAATTTTTGTAAGCTATCCAATGATCTGCACATGTATTTATCTGTCCATTTCAGCAAAAAAAAGAGAGAAGACACAAGTAGCATTGGCATCTTTTATTGATCAAAGTCAATACTTCATAAAATCAATGAGTACCATTCATTAGTGTGTCTATGCATATCTGCAATTATGTCTTTGTGTAGATGTTTGTTGCCTTATTTTATATTTTATTTGCTCAAAATATATAAGTGAATCATTTTTGCACCTAGAAAACATCTTAAAAACATAGTTGAGCATTCATTGTGAAACCTATAAGAATTAGGAGTTGGGGCATTGTAAAGTAGAAATGGACAAAAGAAAAAAAGAACTAACAAGCTGTCTCAAATATGAAATTTTACAAAAGGTAGAGAAAGTGTTGCTTGGGCATTTCCTGATTGTATGGCTCTCATTTATGAACTTCTTGATGCTTAGTGTGCACTTCACAATTTAGAATTTGGTTACATTTGAGCCATGCTTGCATGTATTTTTATGAATTCTCCAGACATTGCATCTTGTGGAGTGGTATTTTTGCCAACATATTAACTTCCAACATCCAGTGCTGTTGTAATTATTTGTAATTTAGGATTGGTATACAGAACATTTACAATAAAGTTAACTATATATTAAACTAATTATTAAATAATACATATTTCAAATGTAAAACACATAACACCTTAATGTGGAAGCTGAAATTTCTTCTTTTGTAATTTCCTATCTAAATGAACTTCAACCCATGTATGATTTTAATGGAATGAGTTACCCTCTGGATTCTCCTTTTCATTCCTACATTTGTTGGTGTTAAATTTAATCATTCTGTAAAAGTTAACATTATTTTTATATGTATGTTTGGACCCCTGGGTTATCATAAAATATGATATTCACATTTTATAACTTTTTGCAAATCAAACACATATTTTCATTCCTTTTATACAAGGTTATTTGCATTTTCTTTCTTCTTTTTTTTTTTTTGAGACAGGGCTTCACTCTTTTGCCTAGGCTGGACTATAGTGGCATGGTCTTGGCTCACTGCTACCTCCACCTCCCAGGCTCAAGCAATCCTCCCACCTCAGCCTAATAGGTAGCTGGGACTACAGGCATGCACAACCAACCACACCTGGATAATTTTTGTAGTTCTTTTGTAGAGACAAGGTTTTACTATATTGTTAAAGCTGGCCGTGGACTCCTGGACTCAAGCAATTAACCTGCCTTGGCCTCTCAAAGCACTGGGCTTACAGACATGAGCCACTGTGCCCAGAAGTTTATTTCCATTTTCCTTTTTTTGAAATGGAGTTTTGCACTTGTTGCCCAGGCTGGAGTGCAATGGCACAATCTCAGCTCACTGCAACCTCCGCCTTCCAGGTTCAAGCATTTCTTCTGCCTCAGCCTCCTGAGTAGCTGGGATTACAGGCATGTGCCACCACGCCCGACTAATTTTGTATTTTTTTTAGTACAGATGGGGTTTCTCCATGTTGGTCAGGCTGGTCTCAACCTCCGAACCTCAGGTGATCTTCCTACCTTGGCCTCCCAAAGTTCTGGTATTACAGGTGTGAGACACCACCTCCAGCCTTATGTGCATTTTCCTTGTGTATTCTGTCATAGTGGTAAATCTCCTCAAGTTCCTAAAAGTTTTCCTCCCTGTTGCAGAGCAGTAATTTTTGGTCTTCATTGATATATATATTTTTTCTAAAATAGTTTCTTGAGTATTGTTGTCTTGCGTCTCTGCTGGTGATCCTCTCTGGCTAATTTGTCCTCTAATTTATTAGAATAAGCTAAAATATAGTCATATTTAACTCAAAAGTGCAAAGTCCAAAGTCTCATCTGAGATAAGGCAAGTCTCTTCCACCTGTGAGCATATAAAATAAAAAATAATTTAGTCACTTCTAAGATACAATGTTAGTACAGACATTGGGTAAACATTCCCATTTCAAAAGGGAGAAATCAGACAAAAAGAGGGACTACAGGCCCTATGCATGTCCAAAGCCCAGCAGGACAGTCATTAAATCTTCAAGCTCCAAAAGAATCTCCTTTGACTCCATGTCCCATATCCAGGGCAACTCGGCGCAAGGGGTGGGCTCCCAAAGGCTTGGGGAGCTCTGCCCCTGTCCCTTTGCAGGGCTCAGCCCACATAGCTGCTCTCATAGGCTGGTGTTGAGTGCCTGTGGCTTTTCCAGACACACAGTGAAAGCTGCTGGTAGATCTATCATTCTGGGGTCTGGAGGATGGAGGCCTTCCTCTTGCACTTCCACTAGGCAGTGCCCCAGTGAAGACTCTGTGTGGGGGCTCCAACCTCACATTTTTCCTCTGCACTGCCCTAGTAGAGGTTCTCCATTAGGACTCTGCCCCTGCAGCAGGCTTCCTCCTAGACATCCAGGCTTTTCTATATATCATCTGAAATCTAGGCAGAGGCTCCTAAGTCTCACCTCCTGCATTTGGTGCACCCACAGGCTTAACACCACCTGAAAGCTGCCAAGACTTAGGGCTTGCACCCTCTGAAGCAGAAACCTGAGCTCTACTTGGGTGCCTTTTACCTATAGCTGGAGCTGGAGGAGCTGCAATATAGTGAACAGTGGCCCGAGTATGTGCATTGCAGTGGGGTCCTGGGCCTGGTTCATGAAACCTTTCTTTCCTCTTAGACCTCTGGGCCTGTGCTGGGAGGAGCTGCTGGGAAGGTCTCTGAAATGCCTTGAAGGCCTTCTCCCCATTGTCTTGGATATTAGCACTTGCCCTTTTTTTTGTTTTTAGTTATGCATATTTCTGCATGAATTTCTCCCCTGAAAATGGGCTTTTCTTTTCTACTACATGGCTAGGTTACAAATTTTCCAAATTTTTACACTCTGCTTCCCTTTTAAATATAAGTTCCAGTTTCAGAACATTTCTTTGCTCATGCATATGTGCATAGGGTGTTAGAAGCAGCCAGGTCACATCTTGCTTTGATGCTCAGAAATTTCTTCTGCCATATACCCTAAATCATCTCTCTAAACTTCAAAGTTCCACAAATCCCTAGGGCAGGCACACAATTTAACCAAGCTCTTTTCTAAAGCATAACAAAAGTGAACTCTGCATTAGTTTACAATAAGTTCCTAATCTCCATCTGTGTCTTCCTCTGCCAGGCCTTCACCATTTTTATCACTACCAGCATTTTGGCCTTGATCATTCAACCAGTCTCTAGGAAGTTCCAATTTCCCTTATTTTCCTGTCTTCATCTGAGCCCTCCAAACTCTTCCAACCTCTTCCCATTACCTAGTTTCAAAATTGCTTCCATATGTTCAGGTATCTTTTTAGAAATGCCTCACTCCTTGGTATCAGTTTTCTATAAGTCCATTCTTGTCCTGTTATAAAAAAAAGTCTGAACCCTGGTAATTTATAAAGAAAAGAGGTTTAGTTGGCTAAAGTTTCTGCAGGCTGTATAGGAAGCATGATGCTGGCATTTGTTTGGCTTCTGGAGAGGCCTTTACAGTCATCACAGAAAGTGAAGGGCAAGCAAGTATGTCTTATGTGTCTGGAGCAGTAGCAAGGGAGAAGAGAGTGGGGAGGAACTACGCACTTTCAAATGACCAGATCTCATGAGAACAGAATCAAGGGAGAAATCTGCCTCCACGATTTAATTACCTTCCCCTAGGCACCACCTCCAATATTTGGAAATACAATCCGACATGAGATTTGTGCAGGAACACAGATCCAAACCATATCCGTGTCACTTAGTGATTTCGGCAATTATTTGTTTTTTAATTAACCAGTTGAGTACCTTGGGACATAAATAAAATGCCATTGCTCTGAACTTCAATGCATATGCTATCTATCAAGAATCAGTATAAAATGACAAACACAGATTTTTGCAATATATTTGGTATAGAGAGCAATGCATTCAAAGATTTATTTATTTCTCGTATCTAGGTAAGTTCTTGTTTCAAACTGTTTATGTCAAGCATATAGCAATGGAATTTAGAGCTCAACCAATAAAAATTAATGGCGGTACCTTATATCTACTTTTTCTATAAAATACATCATAAGAAAATATGCAGTTATAGGACAGTTTATAAGTTAGAAAATAAATATTTTGACTTAGCTCTTGAATAGATCCATAACTGTGGAGTAGCTTCTCACACATTAAATTTTGTTTTTTAATCTCAGAACATGTTGATGGTGATAAACGTAAGTGTATTACTAAATAAAATGTGAAAATACTATGTCTCTTTTAAATTTTATGATGGTAAACTTAGAAGACTATGATGAGATTTCTAACAATTTATTATTACCTTTTCTTTAGAAAGTTGACTCTTACACCTGAAGACAACAACAACTTCTTGGTTTATGGCAAAATATCTTCTTAGCTTAGTATGAACTCAATTAATTTGTAGGAAGCTATCCTGCTGTGAAGTTATCAAAGGTGTTGGAAATAAGATTAGCATAAACTTCAAATTCAATTTAGATATTGATACATTAAATATTCATTATTACTGGATATATTTTATATAATCATCAATTAGGCATTTGCAAGAGCATAAGAGAAGTAATACTTTTACAAATAAATTTAAGTGGCAAAAACTAACATAATAAAGCATTAACAAAAAGATCTTTCAAAGGATATTGGTTTCATTATACTACATCTTAATCTTACTTGAATAAAGGCATATAGCTATATAATATTTTGTATTGCTTTTTTTTTTTTTTGCTTTTCTCTTAGATTATGTGGGTTAATACAATAAAATTAAAAGTGAAAAAAAAACATTTTTAACCTATCTGGTTTCGGCAAAATGATGATAATATTGTTGATTTTTAAATCTCTAAAGTCCTCACAAACAATCTGAGCAAGTAATGTAACAAACAAACCAAAACCAAAAAACAAATACATAAAAGCAACTTTGCATATCACCTTTAATAACACTGGTAAAATACCAGGAATTCTGGAATATGAGTTAATCAACTACTAATGACTGCAATAAAAGTACAAGGATCAGTAGGTGGGCAGAAGCCAGTGGAGAGAGGGAAAAAATAATTCTGGGGATCTTAAGGGTCTTGAATATCATTATTGACAACAAGTCCTCAGCTTCAAAAGAAAAGAACTACAATGATGGTTTAACACTCAGCCAGCAGATCTGAGTACAAATGTTAAATCTGTCATACACAATTTAAAATATGTAAAAATTTAAATACTGACTACAGTATTACAAAAGGAGAGAGGTGATTAGATATATTAAAGGAATTCTAAGGTCCTTTTGCTGTTTGGAAATTGGTAAATACATTAATATATTTTTATGGTATTAATAACAATAATTATTGTAATTACTAAGATAACTACCAGAAGAATAGTAAAAAGAATATAAGATTGGAAAGCTGATACAAAGAAAATGTGGAAAATAAAACAGTTGAAATTAATAAAACAAAGGAGGGGGAAAAGAGAATATAACACATGTAGGACAAATAGGAAATGAGTAGTAAGATGGTAGATGTAACGCCAAGTATATCAGTAGTTATGATACATAATAAATGGTCTAACAAATTCAATTAAAGGCAAATAATAGCATGTTATATTTTTTTAAATATCCAACTATATGCTGCACACAACAGGCTCACTTTAAATATGGAGAAACAAATTTTGAAAGCAAAAGAACAAAAAATCATACTATGAAATTATTACTATAGTAATTTTAGTAAAAGTACACTTTATAGAAGCAACATTACTAGAGAAAGAGAAAGATTTTGTCATGGAAGAAGGGTTAGACCCCAAGAAGGTATTTATATATACCACATAATATAGCCGCAAAATGTACAAAGCAAAATTGGACAAATGTACACTCATTGCATGAGGTTTAATTTCATTTTAACAGTTTTATTGAGCTTCATTTTAGAAATTATAAAATTCATTAGTTTTAAATATGTATTTGAAAGATTTTAGCTGCTTTACTGAGTCATAAAACCACCATCATAAATCTGTTTAGAACATTTTTATCCACTGAATAAGATTTCTCTTGTTCATTTTCAATTAATCCCTGTTCCTATCCCCACACACAGGCAAACACTAATCTGTTTTTGTAAATGTCTTTCCTAGATATTTCATATAAATGGAATCTTACAACATGTGAGCTCTAGAATCTGGCTTCTCTTGCTCGGTGTAATGTTTTTAAAATTATTCCATGATGTAGCATGCATCAATATTTGTTCTGTTTTTACTGCTGAACAGCATTCAATTGTGTGACTATAAGTCATTTGGCTGTCTGCTCAATGGTTGATGAGCATTTGAGTTGTTTCTAGTTTTGAAAAATTATGAATTAATGCTGCTATGGACATGCATATACAAGTATTTGTGTAAATATATGTCTTTATTTTTCTAGATAGGAAAATAATTGCTGAGTATTATGGTAGTTTTATGTTTAATTTCTTAAGAAGTAAAATAGTTTGCAGAGTGGCTGTAACATTTACAGTCCTGTCAATAATATATGAAGACCTTCTTCTCCACACTCTCACCAGTATGCATTATGTCCTGTTACTGATTAAAGCCATTGTAATGAACGTGAAATAATATCTCATTTGGGTTTTAATCCGTATTGCCAAATGAATTGTGATATAGATATTTTTAATGTGTTTATTAGCCATTTGTGCATCAACTTTGGTAAACTGTCTATTTGAATCTTTTGCCCATTTTTTGATTAGGTTGTTCATTTCTTAATATTCAGTTGTAAACATTTCTTGTAAATTATGAATAAAAGTCTTTAAGTAGTGTTTCATAAACATTCTTCCCAGGACTTTTTTGTACCTTTTTTTCTTTTTTGGGGGGGGAGGGGGAGATTACTATTTTTAAAATTTAATTACTAAAATCGATAGATATTTATGGCATAAAACATGATACTTTGAAATATGTTCACACTGCAGAATGGCTAAATAAAGCTAGTTAGTATATCTATTATATCACTTACTTACTTACCATATTTGGAGAATGCAACCATTTAAAATCTACTCTCAACTATAGTCACCATTTTTGTGGAATACATTGAACTTATTTCTCCTGCTAACTAAAATTTTGTATCATTTGACAAACATCTCCCACTCTCACCCCTTCCCAACACCTAACTCATGGTAACCACCATTTGACTCTCTGCTTCTATTAGTTTATTTTAGATTTCACATATAAATGAGATCATGCACTATTTGTCTTTCTGTGCTTGACTTATTTCACTTAACATCATGTCCTCCAGGTATATCCATGTTGTCACAAATGAGAGGATTTCCTTTTTTAAAGTCTGAATAGTATTCCATTTTTTATATATGACACATTATTCTTTATTTATCATCCCTTGATGGACATTTAGGTTGATTCCATAACCTGGCTATTGTTAGTAATGCTGCAATGAACATGGGAGTGCAAGTATCTCTTTGAAAACTTCATTTTATTTCTTTGGGACTGATATGCAGAAGTAGAGTTGGTGCATTATGTGGTAGCTCTAGTTTTAACATTTTTAAGAAACTCCATACTGTTTTTCATAATGGTTTTAAGCTTTTCTCCATTTGAAATTGACCCAATTTCCCCATGAAATTAATGTTTACTTTTTTTAATAAACATAGAAATTGACCATCTGTGGAGGAAGAGTTAAATATTAACTTTGAACTCAATTGAACTTGAACACAAAGAATGGTTACGTGCCCGTAAACAGCCCCTGGGCATCTGCCCAGGAGCTAGTAACCTATACTGATTGTTTTCGTAAGGTACATTTTCTGCCTTAAGGCAAACAACAGAATCTAGAGAATAGGCTAACCTTCCTGTGTTCCCTGAGCCCAGTCATGAAGGGCCCTCATTCCTGGGCCTCAGGCCAAGAAAGGAATACTACAAAAGGGCTAGGGTCCCAGACCACACAGAAGCTCCATGAGACCTCTCCTCATCTGTGCATGGTCGAGTGACCAACTCTGGATCCCAGGCTATTGCTTCCCGATCTGGTGATGAATCCTCCATAGTCTAGTGAGTGTAACTATATATACATTTCCTTCTCCCCTTCCCATTGCAATTTGCTTATCATATAATTTGCTTATTATGCCATTTTCTTATTATATCTGCATTGCCATTTACGTAGGATAAAGCATAGGATAAAGATTGTTTACCTTTAAAGGTATTGTGTATGTGTCTTTTCTTTCCCCTTCATGCATTTCCCACACAGAACACAATCACTATCCTAGTCCTCCTTTTTTTTTTTTTTTTTTTTTTGAGACTGAGTTTAGCTTTTGTTGCCCAGGCTGGAGTGCAGTGGTGCAATCTTGGCTCACTGCAATCTCTCCCTCCTGGGTTCATGCGATTCTCCTGCCTCAGCCTCCCAAGTAGCTGGGATTACAGGCATGCACCACCAGGCCTGGCTAATTTTGTATTTTTAGTAGAGATGGCATTTCTCCATATTTCTCAGGCTGGTCTCGAACTCCCGACCTCAGGTAATCTGCCCACCTTGACCTCACAAAGTTCTGGGATTACAGGCTTGAGCCACCATGCCTGGCCATCCTAGTCTTAAAGCTTGAAACTTACATTTGTCTTATGAGTTCCTTTCACAGAAAACTGATCCTGAGGCCTCACAAGTAGTGTCAAGATACTGAAACTCCTTAATTTCTGTTTTCCTAACTGGCCACCTGCTTCCTGTTGACCAACTCCTCTTCCTTACCCCTCCCTAATTTTTGTTTTCCTTCACATAGCTACATTTCTTCCTCACTATTTAAACCCCCAATTTTAGTTGGTTAGGGAATGGATTTGAGGCTTATCTCCCATCTCCTCTGCTGCAGCACCTGAATAAAGCCTTCTTCCCTGGCAATGCTAACCTCAGTGACTGGCTTTCTGTGTGGTGAGCAATGGGACCTAGATCAACCACCTGGCATTTCAGTAAACCATTGAGTATAATGATAGCTGTGAGCTTGTTGTATACAGCCTTTGTTATATTGAAATACATTTCTTCTATACATAAATTGCAAAGCATATTTATTATGACAGGATGTGGAATTGTGTCAAATGCTTTTACTGCATCTATTAAGATGGCCACGTTTTATATCCTGCATACTTTTAATGTACTGTGTGACATTTATTATTATTATTACTACTATTATTTAGAGACAGGATCTCACTCAGTCACCCAGGCTGGTGTGCAGTGATGCAATCATAGCTCACTGTAGGCTCAAACTCCTGGGCTCAAGTGATTCTCCTATCTTGGCCCCTCAAGTAGCTAGGACTTAAAAGTTCATGCCACTACACTCAGTTACTTTTCTTTATTTCTTGTAGAAATGAGGTCTCACTTTGTTTCCCAGGCTGGTCTCAAACTACTGGCCTCAAACAATTCTCCCATTTTGGCCTCCCACAGTGTTGGGATTATTGATTTGAGCCATTGAACCTGGCCTCACATTTATTAGTATGAATTATATTTCAGACAATTCATAGGTCTCCATTAATTTGAGGTCAGTTACTGGAAATTTATTTTCTTTTGGTGGTATCCTGTTTCCCTGATTCTTTGTTATTGATGTAGCATGTAGTGGGTGTGGATCCTGTTTAGTATGTGGATATCTAATTGTCCCAGCACTATAGATTGAACAGATTATGGTTTCCTCAATAAACTAGCTAGAAAAAAAGTAAAAAAAAATCAGTATAACAAAAACAGAAGAATTTATTTATAGATTTTTAACTGGTTGAATTGAGCTATATGTCTATTTTTATGCCAGTACTATAGTGTCTTGACTTACTGCTGGTTTGTAGTAGGTTTTGAAATCAGAAAGTGTGAGTCCTCACAATTGGTTTTCCTTTTCAAATTGTTATGGCTATTCTGGGCCAATTACATCTTCATATAAAATGTATACTTATGTCAATTTCAGAAAAATCTGTAGAGATTTTTATAGGAATTGCACTGATTTTTGAGATTTATTTTAAAACTACTGCCAGCCTAGCAATATTTTGTGTTTCACTCCATAAACAAGAAATATCTTTTTGTTTATTTAGATCTTAACTACTTTTAATAATATTTTGTTCTTTTCAATGTACAAGTCCTGCATGTGTTTTGTTAAATTAATTTCTAATTGTTCTATTTTTTTGATGCTGTTTAATGAAATTTTTTTCTTTTTCATTTTGAATTATTTATAGAAAAACAATTTTTGTATATTATTCATGAGTCTTGCAACTTTGTAGAACACTTATTTATTAGTTCTAACAGTTTTTAAATTTTATTTCTAAGAATTTTCTCTGTATAAAATCATTTTATCTGCATACAGATATAGGTTTCTCTGTTCATTTCCAATCTGGATACTTAAAAAAAATTTTTCCTTGCCTCATTGTCATAGCTATAACCTGCTCAATAGTGTTGAACCATGAGAAAAAACATTGTAATCTTGTTCCTGATATTAGGAAAAATCTCTAATTCTTTTAAAATTCATTATTATGCTAGTTACGAGTGTATTACAGATGTTCTCCATCAGGTTGAGGAAGTTCACTTCTATTAAGAATTAGAAGGTTTTTAATCATGAGTGGGTGAATAACTTTGTCATAATTTTTCTTCTTCATATGGTCAAGTATTTATTTGTTCTTTATTATATTAAATGCTATAATACACAAAAGTGAAGTAAATCTCACTTCGTGATGTGCAAACTATTTGCATTTTTCAATTATTCTGGAATTTTTTTTTAGCTTTCATTTTAGGTTCAGAGGTGCATGTGTAGATATATTACATAGGTAAATTGTTTGGGGAGTTTGGTATACACATTATTTTCTTACCTAGGTAAGAAGTACAGTACCTGCTATGTGTTTTTTTCAATCCTCAGCCTCCTCTCATTCCTCCATTCTCAAGTAGCCCTGGTGTCTGTTGTTCCCTTCTTTATGTTCACATGTACTGAGGGTTTAGCTTCCACTTATGAGTGAAGATATACAGTATTTGGTTTTCTATTCCTGTGTCAGTATGCTTAGGATAATTTTCTCCAGCTCCATCCATGTTGTTGCAATGGACACGATCTCATTCTTTTCATTATTATTATTATTATTTTTATTATACTTTAAGTTCTGTGGTACATGTGCAGAACATGCAGTTTTGTTACATAGGTATACACGTGCCATGGTGGTTTGCCACACCCACCAACCCATCACCTACATTAGGTATTTCTCCTAATGCTATCCCTTCCCTAGCCCCTCACCCCCCGACAGGCCCAAGTGTGTGATGTTCCCCTCCCCCTCTCTGTGTCCATGTGTTCTCATTGTTCAACTCCTACTTATGTGTGAGAACATGAGGTGTTTGGTTTTCTGTTCTTGTGTTAGTTTGCTGAGAATGATGGTTTCCAGCTTCATCCATGTCCCTGTAAAGGACATGAACTCATCCTTTTTTATGGCTGCATAGCATTCCATGGTGTATATGTGCCCCATTTTCTTTATCCAGTCCATCACTGATGGAGATTTGGGTTGATTCCAAGTCTTTGCTATTGTGAATAGTGCTGCAATAAACATACGTGTGCATGTGTGTTTATAGCAGAATGATTTATAATCCTTTGGATATATACCCAGTAATGGGAATGCTGGGTCAAATGGTATTTCTGGTTCTAGATCCTTGAGGAATCACCACACTGTCTTCCACAATGGTTGAACTAATTTACACTCCCACCAACAGTGTAAAAGCGTTCCTATTTCTCCACAACCTCTCCAGCATCTGTTGTTTCCTGACTTTGTAATGTTCACCATTCTAACTGACATGAGATGGTATCTCATTGTGGTTTTGATTTGCATTTCTCTAATGACCAGTGATGATGAGCTTTTTTTCATATGTTTGTTGGCTGCATAAATGTCTTCTTTTGAAAAGTCACTGTTCACATCCTTCATCCACTTTTTGACAGGGTTCTTTTCTTCTTGTAAATTTATTTAAGTTCTTTGTAGATTCTGGATATTAGCCCTTTGTCAGATGGATTGATTGCAAAAATTTTCTCCCATTCTGTGCATTGCCTGTTCACTCTGATGATAGTTTCTTTTGCTGTGCAGAAGCCCTTTAGTTTAATCAGATCCCATTTGTCAATTTTGGCTTTTGTTGCCATTGCTTTTTGTGTTTTAGACTTGAAGTCTTTGCCCATGCCTATGTCCTGAATGGTATAGCCTAAGTTTTCTTCTAGGATATTTATGGTTTTAGGTCTTATGTTTAAGTCTGTAAACTCATTCTTTTTATGGCTGAATAGTATTCCATTATGTATATTTTCCACATTTTTAATAAATCCAGTTTACCATTGATGAACATTTAGTTTAATTCCATGTCTTGTTATTGTCAATAATGCCACGATGTATATATGCATGCATGTGTCTTTATAGTAGAATGATTTCTATTCCATTGGGTATATAATCACTGGGTCAAATGGTAGTTCTGTTTCAAGTTTTTCAAGAAATTGGCAACTGTTTTCTGCAGTGACTGAACTGCTTTACATTCCCACCGGCTATATATAAGTGTTCCCTTTTCTCTACAACTTCACCAGCATCTGTTATTTTTTTGACTTTTTAATAATGCCCATACTGACTTGTGTGAGATGGTATCTCATTGTGGTTGTGACTTGCATTTCTCTAACAAATAGTGATTTTGAGCATTTTTTATGTGCTTTTTGGCTGCATGTAAGTTTTCTTTGAAAAGTGTCTGTTAATGTTCTTTGCTCATTTTTAATGGGGTTATTTCTTTTTTGTTTGTTAATTTGTTAGTTTCTTATAGATTCCGGCTACTAGACCATCAGCAGACACATAGTTTGCAAATATTTTCTCCCATTTGGTAGGTTGTCTGTTTACTGTGTTGATAGTTTATTTTGTAATATAGAGGCTCTTAATTTAATTAGGTCCCACTTGTCAATTTATGTTTCTGATGCAATTGCTTTTGCCATCTTTATTATGAATCTTTGCCAGGTCCTATGAACAAGATATTGCCTAACTTATATTCCAATGATTTTATAGTTTTAGGTTTTACATTTAAGTCTTTGATTCATCTGGAGTTGATTTTTGTATATGACACAAGGAATTAGTCCAGTTTTAATCTTCTGCTTATGGCTAGCCAGTTATTACATCACCACTTATTAAATAGGGAGTGTTTTCCCTGTTGCTTTTTTTTTTGCCAAATTTTTTGAAGATCAGATGGTTGTAGATACGCTGCTTTATTTCTAGGCTCTCTATTCTGTTCAATTAGTCTGTGTGCCTATTTTTCAACAAGTACCATGCTGTTCTGGTTACTGTAGCCTTGTATTATAGTTTGAAGCTGGGTAATGTGATTTCTCCAACTTTCTTCATTTTTCTTAGGATTACTTTGGCTATTCTGGCTCTTTTTGGTTCCATACACATTTTACAAAAGGTTTTCTAATTCTGTAATGAATATCATTGGCAGTTTGATAAGGAATAGCATTGAATCCATAAATTGCTTTGGGCAGTATGATTATTTCAACAATATTGAGTCTTCCTGTCCATGAGCATGAAATGTTTTCCATTTGTTTGTGTCATCTCTGACTTTGAGCAGTGTTTTATGATTCTTATTGTAGATTTTCACTTCCCTAGTTAGCTGTATTCCTTGGTATTTTATTGTTTTTTTTTTTCTGGCTATTGCGTATGACATTATGTTCTTGATTAGCCTCTCACTTTAGTAGTTGTTGGTGTACAGAAATGCTACTAACTTCTGCACATTGATTTTGTATCCAGGTAATTTTCTAAGGTTGTTTTTCAGACTTAGGAGTTCTTGGAAAGAGACTATGGAATTTTCTAGGTAAAGAATCATATTAGGTGCAAAAAGATAGTTTGACTTCCTCTCTTGCTTCTCTTGCTATAGGGATATCTTTTATTACTTTTTCTTGCCTGGCATAAAATATCCAGTCCAGTCTTATGTTGAGTAGAAGTGGTGAGAGTGGGCATCTTTGTCTTGTTCCAGTTCTCAAGGGGAATGTTCCCAGCATTTGCCCATTCAGTATGATGATGACTATGTGTTTGCCATAGAAAGCTTTTTTGTTGTATGTTTCCTCAATACCTTGCTTGTTGAGGATTTTAAGATGAACAGATGTTAAATTTTATCAAAACCCTTTTCTGCATCTATTGAGATAATTGTGTTAGTTTTGTTTTTAGTTCCTTTTATGTAATGAATTAAATTTATTGATTTTCCTATGTTGAAACAATCTTTCACCCTAGGGATAAAGCCTACTTGATAATGATGGATTAGCTCTTCGATGTGCTACTAAATTTGGTTTGCTCATACTTTGTTGAGGATTTTTCCATCTCTGTTTATCAAATATATTAGTCTAAAGCTTTCTTTTTGTGTATTTATCAGGTTTTGATATTAGAGTGATGCTGGCCTCCTAGAATGTGTTAGGTAGGAGTCCCTCCTCCTCAATATTTTAGATTAGTGTCAGTAGGAATGGTACCAGCCTTTCTTTATACTTGTAGAAATTAAGCTGTGAATCCATCTGGTCCTCAGCTTCTTTTGGTTGGTAGGCTTTCTATTATTCATTCAATTTTGGAACTTATAATTGGTCTGTTCAGAGATTCAATACTTTTGTAGTTTAGTATAGAGATGTTCTATGTTTCTAGGAATTTATTTTTTTCAAAGTGTTTTAGCTTGGTGTGTAGAGGTGTTCAAAGCAATCTCTGAGGAATTTTATATTTCTGGGGGCTGTGGTAACATCCCGTTTGTCATTTCTGATTTTATTTATTTATATCATATATTTTTTTATTAGTGTATTCAGTGGTCTATCAATCTATTATTTTGAAATAATCAACACCTAGATTTGTTGATCTTTTGTATGGTTTCTTGTGTCTCAATTTCCTTCAGTTCGGTTCTTAACTTTGGTTATGTCTTGTCTTCTGCTACCTTTGGAGTTGGTTTGCTCTGCTTTTTCTAGTTCTTCTAGTTGTGATGTTAAGTTGTTAATTTGAGATCTTTCTAACTTTTTGATATGTGCATTTAGCAATGTAAAATTCCCTCTTAACATTATCTATGTATCAGAGATTCTGATATGTTGTACCTTTGTTCTCATTAGTTTCAAAGAATTTCTTGATTCCTGCCTTAATTTCAATATTTACCAAAAAGTTACCAAAAAGTAAATCAGGAGCATGTTGTTTAATTTCCATGTAATTGTACAGTTTTGAGCAATTTTCTTAGTATTGATTTGTATTTTTACTGTGCTGCGGTCTGAGTGTGGTTGGTATAATTTTGTTTTATAATTTGTTGAGAATTTTTTTATGACTGATTTTGTGCTCCATTTTAGAGTATGTGCTATGTGCAGATGAGAAGAGTGTATGTTCTGTTGTTTTGGGGTGGAGAGTTCTGTAGATGTCTATTTGGTCAAGTGTTGAGTTCGGGTCTCAAATATCTTTTGTTATTTTTCTGCCTCAATGATCTGTCTAATACTGTCTCTGGATTACTAAAGTTTCCACTATTATTGTGTGGTAATCTAAGTCTCCTTATAAGTTATAAAGTACTAAGTATGTAAAGCTCTGTGCTCCTGTTTTGGGTGCATATATTCTTAAGATAGTAATATCTTCTTGTTGAATTAAATACTTTACAATTATGTAATGCCTTTGTTTGTCATTTTTGATCTTTGTTGGTTTAAAGTCTGTTTTGTCTGAAATTAGAATAGCAATCCTAGCTTTTTTCTGTTTTCTGTTTACTTGCCAGGCTTTTCTGCATCCATTCTCTTTGAACCTATGGGTGTAATTGCATATGAGAGAGATCTTTTGAAGACAGGATACCATTGGGTCTTCCTTTTTTATGCAACTTGCCACTCTGTGCCTTCTATTTGGGGCATTTAGCTCATTTACATTCAAGGTTAATCTTGATATGTACAGATTTAATTCTGTCATCTTGTTCCTAGCTGGCTAATATGCAGAGTTGATCGTGTACTTGCTTTATATGTCAATGATTCATGTACTTACATGTCTTTTTCTGGTAGCTGGTAATGGTCTTTCCATATTTAGCACTCCCTTAAGGACTTCTTGTAAAGCAGAACTGTTTGTAATGAATTTCATTAGCATTTGTTTTTCTGAAAATGATCTTATTTCTCCTTCGTGTATTAAGCTTATTTTGGCAGGAATAAAATTTGTGATTGAAATTTATTTCCTTTATGAATAATGTATATAGGCCACCAATGTCTTCTGGCTTGCAGTGTTTCTGCTGAAAGGTCCACTATCAGCCTGATGGGATACCATTTGTAGGTGACCTGCTCCCACCCTCTTGCTGCCTTTATCATTTTTTCTTTATTTCAAACTTGAAGAATCTGATAACAATGTGTGTTAGGGATAGTTGTCTTGTATAGTATCTTCCAGGGGGTCTGTGCACTTCTTGAATTTTAATATTGGCTTCTCTAGCAAAACTGGGGAAATTTTTATTGATGATATTTTCAAATAACTTTTCCAAGTTACTTGTTTTTGCTTCTTGTTTCAGGGATGTAAATGAGTCATAAATTTGGTCTCTTTACATAATCCTGTTTTTCTCAGAAATTTTTTCAGTCTTCTTTATTCTTTTCTCTTTACTTTTATCTGAGTGTTTTCAAAGACCTGGTCTTCATGCTCTGAGATTTGTCCCTCACCTTGGTTGATTCTACTGTTAATACTAGAGATTGTATTATGAAATATTTGAAATGAGTTTTTCAGCTCTGTTAGATGAGTTTAGTTTTCTTCTTAAAATGATCATTTTTGTCTTTGAGCTCATTGTTTTATCGTATCCTTAGATTCCTTGGATTGGGTTTCAGATTTTCCCAAATCTCAATGATCTTCATTCCTATCCATTTTCTGAATTATATTTCTGTCATTTCAGCCATTTCAGCCTGGTTAGGAAACACTGCTGAGGAACTAGTGGGTTTGTTTGGAGAAAATAGGACACTGTGTCTTTTGGGGTTACCAGAGTTCTTGTGCTGGTTATTTCTTTTCATTGTTTTGATGTTCCTTCAGTCTTTGAAGTTGTCTTCCTTTGGATGGGGTTTTTACCTTTATCTTCTTTGATGCCTTTGGGGGTTTGATTGTGGTATAAAGTAGGTTCAATCAACTAGCTTTATTTCTGGAAGATTTTAAGGGGATAAGTCTCAACTCTTAGACTGTGTGTCCTAACTCTGAGGGGGGCTGATATATGGCCGCTTGCTTTGTTCTGTGGCCCCTCGAGTTTAAAAACCTGATATGCTGCAGGGTCCAATATGTTCCCAGTCCACTAGCTACAACACTTTGATTGGCAGTGCTGGCTAAAGCATTTTGTTGGCATAGTGGCAGTGGGATCCATGCTTGCTTGTGTGTGCCAGCAGCTGCAGCAGTGTGGCGGGGTGCACACGCATGGGCTGGCATGGCATACTGGCAGGAGTGGGGCTGTAGCATTCCTGCTTGTGCCTATGCCAATGGCCTCTAATCTTTTTTATACGTTGTCGGATTTGGTTTGCTTATATTTTCTTGAAGATTATTGCACATATATTGGTAAGAAATATTGGTATGTAGTTGTTTTTCTTTTCTTGAGATGACGTATTTTTTTTAATCAGACCATATATAATGGGTTAAATTTTTTTTCTCTTTTATTTTATTGTAAATATTTGTTTAAGATTGGTGTTGATTACTTAAGCTTTTGGTAAAATTAAACAATAAGGGCACTTAGTCCTCAACTCTTATTTACGGGAACTTTTAAAATTACTGTTATAAAAGCTTTATTGTTACTGGTTGGAATATATTTTCTGTTTCTTCTTAAGGGGGTTTTAGAAGTTTTGTATTTGTGGTCATCTATTTCATCTAAGGTATCTAAATTGCTTTCATACAGTTGTTCATGTTATTTCTTATAATCATCTTTGTTTCTGTAATGTCTGTAAAAATATCCCTCTTTTATTCTAAATTTAACTCATTTGAGTCATTTGTATTTTTATTTTTAGTAAGTCTAGCGATAGTTGCCAATTTGTTAATGTTTTCAAATAAGCAAATTTTGGTTGTATTGTTTTGTGTCTATTATTTTCCTAGTCTTTATTGTATTTATTTCTCTTCTCATGTTTATTATTCACTACTTTTTGCTTGCTTTTAATAAATTATATTATCTAAAAATAAAAAAATAGGTGAAATAACCAATGGAAAGTCAAATTGGAAAAGTTATAATTTTTATATCACAAACAATATGTAATATTCCTGATATAGAAAGAGCTTATACAAACTAAGAAAACAACAACATTTAAAAAGACAAGACATATAAATTGTGCAAAGAGAGAATTATAAATGCATACAGGATACACAGAAATAAACACTAATATTCCTTAATCACATGAAAAAATAATATTTTTCAAAAGAAGAAAAGAAAACTACTTTAAGGCATTACTTCTATTTTATTTACAACAACTCAATGTTTTGATGACATAAAACAATAATATGATTAATAAATTAGCAAGGCTTGGTATGATGACTCATGTGTGTAATCCCAACACTTTGAGGGGCAGAGGCAGGAGAATCACTTAAGCCCAGTAGTTCGAGAGTAGCCTGGGCAACATAGAGAGACCCTGTCTCTACAAAATACATACTTATATATATTTTTAACAACCAGGAAATGTGGTGCACATCTGGGGTCCCAGCTACTCTGGAAGCTGAGGTAGGAGGATCACTTGAGCCTGGAAGGTCTAGACTGAAGTGAGCCATGTTCACCGCAGTGCACTAAGTATCACTAAAAGAGTGATTTCAGTATCACTAAAAGAGTAAATGTTTAACATTCTCATCACAAAAAAATATTAAATATCTGTGGTTATATATATGCTAATTAGTTTAATTTAATTTTTCACATTGTATTAAAAATTGTAATACCACTTTGTACTTTGTAAATGTATACAACTGTAATTTGTCAACATATAATATATTTTTTAAATAGACAAGAAAAATTTTTAAAAACTGGTATTGGGACTACAGATTCTCTAAATGGGAAAATAACTGAGCCTTTAATTGTAGCATAAAAACAAACAGAAACCAAAAGAAATAACAAATCAGTAATTAGCAAAAAGATCACAGACCTAAATGTGAAAGGCAAAACTTAAAAATATTTTAAGAACATTTTGGTAAGTATTTTGTTGAATTAGTTTAAGTCAAAATTTCCTGACATGAATAAAGTACAAGCATAAAGGAAAAGACTGATAATTGTACTGATAAATTTGAGTATTAAAAAAGTTTGTATAATGACACTATTTCCACAATTTAACAATAAACTAACGACAGTTAGGGAATGTAGTTTCAGTGCATATAAACATGAAGTGATTAGTTTCTGGAACATATAAGCAACTTCTACAAATCAATGTATTTTAAAAAATGAAAAATAAGCGAAGGATATAGGCAGTCAATTCACACAAGTCACTTACATGACTGAAAAATATGGATGAATTCTCAATCTCATTTATAATCAGGAAAACTCAAAATCACACTGTTACCATGTCTTGTTTATTATGAACATAGCAAAACAAAGTTTGACAGTACAAAGTGTTAGCAGCAATGTAGAGTCTTGTGTATTCTCGGACACATAGGGTACAGATATAAAGAGGTATAACTATTTTAGGGAGAAATTTGCCAAAATTTCATAAAGTTGCATTTGATTATACCCACTGGGCCTCCTGTCAAGTCTGTCTACACTTAACCTCCAGCAATATGTCAATTAAAGTTAAAGTGTTCTAACCAATACTAAATCCAATTGTGGGCTTCTGCTCCTAAACTTTTGTCCAGTAAGCTGTCTGTCTCTCCAGTGTTCAGGGCAGCAGTTTGTCCTATGACCTCAGTTCTCTGATGACAGAGCAAAAATTTGTTGATTTTGAATGTTTTTTTTTTTAATGTGAAGAAACTTATTACAGTATTTGTTCAATTCTTCCCTCACATTCTTGGTGATATTTTTGTAATATATTTTAATTTTGTATATGCTAATAACACAAAAATACTTCTATTTTTGTGTTATCTTTTAGAGCAATTAAAATTAAAATAACCCATTTAATTTTACTTTTATTTAATCCATTTACTGTGTTCTTCATTAATTTTTATAGAATCAAGTCTCTGACCTTTATCATATCTGTTCTTCCTGATTTTTTACCATTTCTAGTGGGCTAGAACTGGTAGTGTAACTGGAAAGGGGTCCCAATCCAGACCTCAAGAGAGGTCTCTTGGATTTCACAGAAGAAAGAATTTGAGGCGAGTCCATAAAGCAAAGTGAAAACAAGTTTATTAAGAAAGTAAAGGAATAAAAGAATGACTAATCAAGAAATAACCATAAAAATGGTTGCCCATTTTTAGTATTCATTAGTTTTCCAGGAAAGCGGTGGGCAATTCCCAGAGCTGAGGTTCCTCCCCTTTTTAGACCATATAGGGTAACTTCCTGACATTGCCATGGCATTTATAAATTGTTATGGCACTGATGAGAGTGTAGCAGTGAGGACAACCAGAGGTCATTCTCATTACCATCTTGGTTTTGCTGGGTTTTAGCCAGCTTCTTTACTGAAACCAGTTTTATCAGCAAGGTTTTTATGACCTGTATCTTGTGCCAACCTCCTATCTCATTCTGTGACTTAGAAGGCCTAACCATCTGGGAATACAGCCCAGTATGCCTCAGCCTTATTTTATCCAGCCCCTATTTAAGATGGAGTTGCTCTGGTTCAAACACCTCTGACATTTTCCCCATCTCTTTTATAAGAGATCCCTTAATCCTGAGAGTTGTTGAGGAGCAAAGATCCATCTTCTGTAACTTCTTCAGGCTGAATAGGGGTGATATTATTCCTGCCTAGCTATTAGGGTCTCTTGTATTACAGGTAGAGAGGAGCCCAGTCATAAAGTGTCAGTATGGTGAAGGTCATTCATACCTCTGAGTTCCTACAAAAGTTTATAATTTATTAATTATTCAATTTAAGAAAATATTGAGTAAGCTTACCCTTCATTCCTACACAAAGAGTACAATAGCAAATATATTCCACATCTGATGAGACTAGAATCTAATAATGAGTGTACCATAGTTCTTGAAATATAGTTTATTTCTCCAGTCTCCCATTTTCACTAAAAATAAATCATAGTAAGACTGGCTTGCTTTATTAAACTTGGCCTGATTATTTGAATAAAGAAGAGCAAGAATAACTATTTTTCACATAGGCTTTCTAAATTGACTTTGATTGAACTCTGTTCCATAAGAAATCTCATATAAGACATTTTTCTTTTAAAACTGAGCCCAGCGATGGGGTTGTACTGTCAAATATCTATGAGTTGGGTAAATTCCTCTCCTCTTGAGGTCCCAAGATAACTTGGGGCTCCTGGGCCTGTCAGAAAGTAATATTCTTTACTTATCCCAGGTCAGGAACCCTGTATAGGAACTCTATAGACAAGGTATGAGGCCAGTTTTCCCAAGGGGCTTCTATTGGCTCTCCATGTCAAATTTGATTCCTTAAAAGAAAGCATGCCATTCTAGTCAAAGCCTTGTAAAATAAACAATTTATCCACTTGTGTCCTGTTGCAAAATAAAACATTCTTATGGAACTTATGCAAAATAAATATATTGCCACAATTTAAGATACAAATAGTTTCCAAATTTTGGAGAAATCAGGTAGAGAGAAACAAATATGCTCTAAATGTTGCTCACAGGAGTACACTTTACACAATTGTTAAAATCTGTAGACAACTCAAATGAAAAGTTTCCTTGACTCTGAAAACAAAACAAAGGATGGGCAATGTTTTTAAGCAAAGTCAAAAAATAATTACTTCCATCTTTTATTAGTCCAGTTCATGTAGTTAACTCCTGTTCTTCTTGATATTCATGAATATTTCAGCTCTCCATGAGAGTCCTGGAAGTTTTTCCTCTATTCTGATGTTACAATCTCCAAAGCTATCAGAAACCTGCATTCAAGAGTACCTGTTAAAGTCCTATAGTTGATTATAAAAACCACCTTCTAAAGAGGACTAATACAAAACAACAATTGTCTGTGGATGATAAAATGCCCTAGGGCAGCCTCTATTAAAACCACAATTGACTAGGAATTTTGGTTACTTCTGTGGCATACAACAATTTCACGTAACAATTATTAATAACACACTAAGCCATAATAGAATTATGGGAGTTCCTCATAATTTTGGAACACATACCAATGGCACATTTATACACATACAGCCCAAAGAAAGCCAAACACCATTTCATATTTGACAATGCTTTCTGTATGATTTTTATACCAAATAAGTCAAATGTCACTTTTACATTAATGTACTATTAATGTTAAACCCTATCCTTAATAAAACCTTATAGACATTTCTAACCAATTTTAATGTTTGACCATAAGGTAAGATTCTCATAAGCCTTTTGTAACACTTTACAAGTTTTTATTAAAAAGCAGATCAGTGGTAAGAAAAAGCTATTGTGCTTTTATTTTCATTCAATTGTTCAATAAATGTTCAATTTACAGGAAAACTGTATACCCCTTTAAATTTAGCCAGTATGTTCAGACATAGAATTTATTTTACAAAATTCTAACTTGAAACAATAATTTAACCCTCTAAACTTAAGCAAGAAATCCACACTCCCATGCCTTCTTATAATCTTTTACCAAACGTATATTCTACATTCCTTATATGCCTTGCATGTAGAACTGTTTCTTTAGTAGCCTCAAATACATGTTACACTGTTAACTCTTAGGAACTTTTGCTTTTGGTGAAAAACTTGGTTAGTAGGCGATTGTAATTATGTATCAAGTGTGGAGCTTAGGACATCAGACAGAAGTGCAGATAAGGGCTTAATCTTTCCGGCACAGCTGGGATGCATGGCGCTCCACATGTCTCCATGTCTTATCAAGAATCTAATGCTTCAAAGTAGGTAAAGTGAACAATTTTCAAAAGTCAAAGAAGCAGTATATGACCTTAAAGCATTTAGTAAACTTAATATCTTGCCTACCTGATTTAGACGAAATATCTTTATTTTACCAATAATCTTTAAAGCTGTTTCTATTTCTCAAAGATTATTTAAGTCCTATGAACTAAAAAGCATTGCACTTTTTAATTTTCTGATAAAATATGTGATTTAAACACTATTTTTAAATGAATTAAAGTTTTTTATATCACACACACAACACATATAAATACAGATACAGAAGAAGATCCAGTACTTGTAAGAGTTTTCATTTGCCAGCTTCCTAATTGGATTTTTGGCTTCAGGGTGGAACCTTTGGAGGAACAGGGCCAGGAAAGCATGCAGTTTCTGCAGCCTAATAGGCAGGCACAACTGGAAGGCAAAACTGATCTCTAGAAATTAAGGGTCCTGTAGTTATACCAGATTCTGGATCCCAAAAAGAGGGAATCAGACCATCTCCCATTGGAGCCTTATATCTCATTGTGGGGTGGGGACATTTCCATACTTTTCTGGTAGTCAAGAGCATGCTTCTCTGATCCAAATGTGCACAGAGCTGAGTATCTCCCCATAACTGCCGTTAGCAATCCCCAAAACTATATTTCCTACCTAGTTACCACACACCAAAGTTCTCTCATAATTTGAAGTAATTTCTGATACTCACAAAACTCAAAAAAGGTCAGATAATGCAATGCAAAACAGAACAAAGCCTTATATTTTGAAAGGAATCTATCCACTTCCAATTCCTGGAGTTTCATGAGGAAAACAGAGGTGCTGTTTTTTTCCCCCAAAACTGGGTCTGTGATGCCTCCTCTGTTTTTCCCAAGGAGTCCAAGTCTGTGAGAGCTTGAATATCTGGTTTTAATTAAACTGACTTTTAGCTATAGCACTCTTTATAAAAGTCTTTTTAAATTTCTTATTACCCTACTTTAGCCAGGCCAAAAGGTATTTATTTCTGTGCTCAGAGAAATAAAAGTTCAAGACAGATTGTTGAGGGGAAGAGAATAAACAAATGGTAAGGGTCACACAGGTATCAAACCAGAAAGGTCTCATTCCCTAAGACAGGAATTGAACCCTTAACTTGGGCGACCACTGTGGTGGTGGAGACCAAGAGAAAGTACTGCCACGTGGTCACAACATCAAGCTCCCAAAGACGTGACTGACCAGTTTGCTGGGCCATCTTAATCAACAAGCTTACATGTGTCCTAGGCCCACATTCTATCCTAAGGTACCACTCTTTATGACAGAACAATAAAGGAAGACACACAAAGCACACCAGATTCACTACAGCTTAAGACTAGCATCACAAATGCTTTTTTCCACTAATCAAAATTCTACAGAGGAGAAAAACAGTGTTTTTTACCATTTATTTAACCAGTTTGCACAGAGAGAGGCCAGAAGTCTGACTGGCAAAAAATTCTTACCCTTTTGTTAGCATGCCAGGCTCTGGGTTCCCTTTCCCTTATTGGGCCTAGTGACCTGACTTTTTGCACTATAGCCTTGGGGGACAAGCTGCAACACAAAGGAAAATTATCTTTTTCCATTCTGGCCAGAGCAAAACACATGTGACAAAACGTAGACATTAGCCACTCTGCTTAGCACCCAATATCAAACTGGCGAGGCTCAAAGTTGCCCCAGGTTGGGCCTCATCATCGTTAATTCAACCTCTGACTGGGAATTTCAACATGGGGTCAATGGGCAAGAAGGTCGCCCTGAGTAATAGAAAATATAATAAAGGGAAAGGAGAGAAAGAGAGAGACAAAAGCATTGTCTGTAGCAGGGTGGGGAAGGTGAGGCACTCAGGTCAGAGAAATACCCACCCATTGCAGTGATGCTGAATCAAAAGTTCAGGCAGCTGCTTGTGGGTCATGAAAGGATCTTTTCTGGCAGCCCCATCGGCTCTCAAGTGTTCTCTTTTGGGGAGAGAAAAAATCTCCCCATGTCCGGTGATCCTGTACATGGCTAATCCTGTCACCCATAGCTGTCAGCAGAGTGTAAGACAGATTAATCCAAAGAGAAGAGCAGTTAGCATCCCATAGTGCCAAACCTGTTCTTCGCTGAGGGGAACTTTACTGAGAGGGACCTCCAACCCCCTAAATCTTAGGAGGGACTTTAACCTTGGGCCTTGAATCCATGTTTGGTCAAGCATCCTTGCCTTTTATTAAGAGAGGCCTTTAACCCTCTCTGTCTTAGGAGAGACTCTAACTCCCCTAAGTTAGGCCTCTAATCCAATCCCATCCTCTACCTGGGTACCCCAACACTTACTTAAAGTTGGCCATCAGTGCTGCAGTCTATTTCCTTTGGGTTGGGATGGTCTCCTCATTATTGTCCCTTCAGCATTCACCAGAAAGTTGTTACACAAAAGGGGTCCGATTCCAGACCCCAAGAGAGGGTTCTTGGATCTTGCACAAGAAAGAATTTGAGACCAGTCCATAGAGCAAAGTAAAAACAAGTTTATTAAGAAAGTAAGGAAATAAAAGAATGGCTACTCCATAGGCAGAAAACCCCAAGGGCTACTGGTTGATCATTTTTATAGTTAATTCTTGATTTTGGAGTCTGTCATTAATTTTGGGGAAATCTTGGTTATTGTTACTGAGAGGTGAAGTCAGATGAGCTTCTGGGTCGGATGGGGACTTGGAGAACTTTTGTGTCTAGCTAAAGGATTGTAAATGCACCAATCAGCACTCTGTAAAATGGGCCAATCAGCACTCTGTAAAACGGACCAACCAGTAGGGCATGGGCAGGGCCAAATAAGGGAATAAAAGCTGGCCTCCCAAGCCAGCAGTGGCAACCCGCTCGGGTCCCCTTCCACACTGTGGAAGCTTTGTTCTTTTGCTCTTCACCATAAATCTTGCTGCTTCTCACTCTTTGGGTCCGCACTACCTTTAAGAGCTGTACCACTCACTGCGAAGGTCTGCGGCTTCACTCCTGAAGTCAGTGAGACAAGGAACCCACCAAGAGGAACAAACAACTCCGGACGCGCCACCTTTAAGAGCCGTAACACTCACTGCGAAGGTTTGCGGCTTCACTCCTGAAGTCAAGCAAGACCATGAACCAACCGGAAGGAAGAAACTCTGGACACATCTGAACATCTGAAGGAACCAACTCTGGACACACCATCTTTAAAAACTGTAACACTCACCGCAAGGGTCTGTGGTTTCATTCTTGAAGTCAGCGAGACCAAGAACCCACCGGAAGGAACCAATCCCGACACATTACTTCAAATATATATATTTTTATTATCTGTTATCTCTCTTCTTTACATCTGGGTTTTTGTATGCTCCTGGCCAACAGACAAAATAGACTCCCCATGGCTAACTGAGGACATTCAAGACAGCCATCACAGCACCTCCGTTTCTATAATCAGGCCAAACCAGTTTCTGTTTTTACTGCCAAGATAAATTACAGCCAGAATTTTCTTCCTCCTCCTTGCTATTTGAAAGAAACATCTGAAAGAGGCTTCCGGTTTGGGGCTTGAAAACCACCCAATCAGGGCTCGACTATTTTGGTCATTCATAACTGAACAAGTTTGAATCCTTTATTTGCATAAATGAACCTGATTGAGAACAAGGCAAGAACTTTCCTTATTTAAGCCAGACCTCTCTTTCTTCTTCAGAGAGCACATTTTCATTTTTAATGATGGCTGTGCCTCCTCAATCTTCAGACTGTTTTTTTCTCCTATGTACAACTCCTTTGTTGTTTTTCTCGTTTCTTTTTTAATTTAGAAAGTAAAGTTCTCCTTTATTCCTCTGCAAATCTCATGATCTTCTTGTTAACACAACATTTCTGTAATGTATTGTCATGATCCCCCAACAAACACAAACACACACGCGCGCACACACACACACACTTTTTTCTCTCTGTGTTTTGATTTGGGTAATTTTACTTGATCTATCTTCAAGTTCATGAGTGCTTTCCTCATTTATATTCAAGTTATCAATGAGCTTGTTGAAAGCACTCTGATATTTCATGTCATCTACTTTTATCATTAGAGACAAACATTTCATTATTACTTTAAATATGTTCTGTGAAATAATGTCAGCATCTTTGTCATACCTGAGTCTTGTTTTAATAATTGTCATACTACTTGAAAGGGTGTTTTTCTTCCTTTTTAATATTTCTTGTAATTTTTGTGAAAGCCAGGCATGTTAGAAAGGGCAGTAAATAATGAGCTAAATATTTTTTATACTTAATGATGAACACACATTTTCTTCAGCTAGACCTTTGTTGTTGAAGTTTGTGTTAGTATAGTCAGGAGTGAGCTGGTGTTGTTAAGGTTATGCCAGCTGCATCTTTGGCTGTATATTCCTCCAGTGATATGTTGTGTTTAAAAGGTTGAGTAGTTTTACCAGAAGTTATTTTGGCAATGTCTGCTTCTATTTGGGTTTTGGTTCTGTGTCTTTTCTTTTGTTGTTGTTGTTGTACCCCGGAGAAAACCTGTCTCTTGTAGCTCTTCAAGTTGTATTTTACTCTTATTTTCACTCAACACTTGTTAACTTGGTAGTGGGTGGTGACATAATGAGGCATTATCTGATGTTCTGATTAAGCCTTGGTTTTAGGCATGCACTCTGTCACTGGATCTCGGGGACATGGCCTTCAAAATTGCTGCTGTCTACTCTCTATTTCTAGTCCTGGGCCCAGTATATAGTCTTGCCCCTCCACCAGGGGTGTAGCTAATTCTTCTCTTCTGTTTCTTCACCATTGAGTCAAGGTGACAGTTTTGTTGCTTGTCCAATATAGATTAAGGTAGTTATCCTCCCCAATATAGATTAGGGAACATAGGGGATGTGGGTTGTGCAGAATTTTGCCAGTGGCTGTTCTGTCCCTCTTCTAACCCATAGCCAAGAGGTGAAACTTTTTAGTATCGTGACAATCTTTTCTGTGAGCATCTGGTGGAATTTTTGGAAGAAAAGCCTAAAAGAGGGTGTGCAGCCTCCTATATTTGGAAACTTCAGGGGCTTCACACTTTCAAGCCCTTAGCCTTTAGCAATTAGTCCACATTCACCCTTTAGCAATTCATTAATTTTTTAGCTTGATTTTATTACTGGTGTATACGATACCTGGTAGTATCACCAGTAAGCAAATACTCAGGTTTTGTTTCTCCCTGAAAGCTCATGTTATTTTACAAGATTTCTTATTAGTTAATTGCCCTGTGACTGCAATTCTCCTATGGGTTTAATAAAGGAATTAATTTGCAGTTCATCTAAGTTTTCCTAGGTACCGACATTCTTCCCAGATCTGTATATCTTTGAGCTTAAATCGGAAGTCTCAAATCATGTACTTTTGATGATGCTAGCATATTTTTATTCTTCTTAAACAATCTCAAAAGTTGGAGTTACCATGTAAATAATTTTCTTACTGAAAAATTTGAGTCTAAGTTGGCAAAATGGTTCTCCAGTATCCCAGATGCTTTAATGTTTGTTTCCTACAAGAAGAGGGAGGATTCTCTGTAGTACCATAACATAAACATCAAAGTTAGGAAATTACTAGTAATAGTTTTTATTATGCTCTTTTCCAATTAAAATTTCTCAACTTATTCAAATAGTGTCCTTTATATCAAAAGAATACAGTTCATAATCACACATTACCTTTAGTTTTCATGTCTTTTGGTCTTCACTCTAAAATAGTTCTCTAGCCTTTCTTTGAATTTCATGACTTCAACACTTTTGAAGATTAAAAACAAGTCATCTTGGAGAATTCCTTCAATTTGAAACTGTTTGGTTATTTCTTCTGGTTAGTTATTTAGTTTCAGGTTATGAGTCTTTGATATGATATCACAGAGTGAGGCTATATTCTTCCCATTGCATTCTGTCAGCTGGTGTGTGATTTAGATTTTTCCCATTATTGATGGTAACTGATCAGTTGATTAAAGGGCTGTCTGCCAGTATTCACCAATGTAAAATTAATCTTTTCAGCTTTGCAATTAATAATAAATGTTTTATGAGGGAATACTTTGCAAACTACATAAATATCCTATTTCTCATCAAAATTCCCATTTATTAATTTATTTAGTTTTATCTCTGAGGACTCGTGGTTCTCAATTTGATGCAATGGGTTATAATTTATCATTGCCATTATTTATTTTGATGCTCAAATTTTCCCCAGTTTGGCCAATGAAGGTCCACTTTATATGTCATTTTAATATGTCCCGATATTCTTTGAGCTCTCCCTTTGCTTCCTGGCACGAGAAATTTTAGATGCATCTTGTATTTTTCCTCTTTATCCCCAAAATGAGCAATTTCTCCCACAGAACCCTGGTCCCATTGGTGGAGAATAGTATTTAAAAGCATAGATTTAGGTAGTCAGTATACTCACTGTTATGGGAGCATCATCCACCTACACATATGCGCATCCAAATATATATCAATTAGTTTTTATTAACCTTTATATATTAAAACCAATGAGTTTATACTAGTATCTCTAATTCCACACTAATGGTACTTGTTGCATTGTAGTTTTTTTTTTCTATATTTTTAATTGTCTTCTCTGACAATGGAAACTCAGTCTCCCATTATTCTTAATATATTTACTTGCTATGTGCTATACAAAGCAGTAGGAGGCACTATCTTTTCATTCAATAAATTAAAATATAGTTGTGACAATAAGACATATGAAAAGTCTCCCATTCTCTGTCCACTTTTATTCTCTGCAACCCACGTGGATGCCCTTCTCACTATACTTGGGCTCTGACTCCCCATGGTAGCTCACACGTCTGTGCAGAATCTTTGTCAACCTATTTAGGCTAATCTTCATGCCCTACTGTCCCTTTCTGAGCATGGTCACTCTACTCACTACTGTCAGGCTCTGACACTTCAAGCAAGGCTCCCTGTGTGCAGGAACTCCCTCCTCATGTTGCTGGGGCTCTCAGATCCCACCTATGTCCCTGAAACACTTATCCCTGGTGCAGTCTCCTACCTTCCTCTGCTATGCATACTGACTAGGACCGAAATGGTCAGGAAATGAAGGGAAAATTGAAGGTCTTACTTATATATGTAAATGTATTGTTAACTCTTGTGTTCAACTTTTCATAAGTCTTTTTTGTCACAATTATATTGAAATTCTTTAATTGAAAATAATGTGTCTCATACTTCTTTGTGTAATAAATAAACAATTATGCATAGCAGGGCTCAGTTAACATGTATTGGTTTTGTTTTTTTTAGTCTATGCTGCTCTTATTCGTTCATTATTTTTCTCATTTATTAAATAAATTATATGCTATAGGTGTGTATATTATGTGTGTGTGTGTATGAGTTTATGAACTAATGAAATATAAGAAAACGAAAAAGGTTGTTATAAAAAATGATGGCGGCCAGGCGCGGTGGCTCATGCCTGTAATCTCAATACTTTCAGAGGCCAAGGGGGGCTGGATCACCTGAGGTCAGGAGTTCAAGACCAGCCTGGTCAACATAGTGAAACCCCATCTCTACTAAAAATACAAAAATTAGCCGGGTGTGGTGGTACATACCTGTAATCCCAGCTACTCGGGAGGCTGAGGCAGGAGAATCGCTTGAACCCAGGAGACGGAGGTTGTAGTGAGCTGACATCGTGCCACTGCACGTCAGCCTGGGTGACAGAGCAAGACTCCATCTCAAAAAAAAAAAATTATGACACCATACTAGCCATCATTTGGGTAGTCATTTACTTTAATGACCTGTTTATAATAGACTACTAAAAACAAAATTCGTAGCTTCTACATGAGTATTTTAAATGTACTTAAAGTAACTCTATGTAATATGAAATATTTTAGGAATAAAAAATAAATTTGAAGTCCTCAGGGACTTTTGATTTCAGCTCCAACATGTAAAATTTAGAGTCTTCACTTCAGTCTTTACAGGAGAAAGTTTAATCAGCTGGAATTCAATAACTTTGCTTGGCCCTATCACAGAACTAAGGTCCCAGGACAAACTGCCAACTTGAAATCTAGGGAGTTAGATGGCCCCTAAGAGACAAACTGTGTCTGGGTAATTAGGAGGAAAGCTGCTGGAGCCATAAACTCTTAGGGGCAGTTATATGGTAATTTTACTGAATTGTTGAAAACTAAGTATAGATTAGAATAAAAATTAGAATCTTTTGAGGGGCCACATTTTTAGGGCCCCCGAACTTTCACAGGCCTTACCTACAAGAACTAGAACAGGTTAACAAGGAGAAGATATGAGAAATATCCCCTAATAGCTTTGGCATGAGGAGAGAAAAATAATCATCTTGGAATAAACCCAAAGCCTTCTTCTCCATGACAAAGGCATACTCTCCAGAGAGAAATACATTGCCAGAACCTTATACCAACTGGGGCAAGGGTTTTGATTCCACTCCAATCCTCTCCAGACTTACTAACTCACACCATAAAGGATGATATAATACTAAATAGCGCTTCTAGGAAATAAATTCAGAATACTGCAGCCAAAGAAGGGAGTAGGGGACAAGCAGGGAAAAAGGTTACACCACAGGAGAAACACTTGTGAAGCTACAGACCTGAGACACAGGCCCGCTTAAAGACTAAAGTTTACCCAGATGATTATAGAACAATATACTTCCTCATAACTTACCACCTACGGTACAACAACAGTGGATTACATTCTAAAGAGTTGAACAGCACAGGCTTTCTCTGAGCAAAAGACAACAGTGGAGATAACAACAAGGATAGTGGAGAAATTTGTAGCCTCTGACACCTACACAAACAGCAAACAATGAGCAAAGGCCAATTGCTAAAGTTGTACTTACCTCAGTTCTTATTGAGACAGCCAGGTAGGAAAGGATCCCCGGAAAAACTCCAGCCGGCCTGCACACTGGGAGCAGTGCGCTGGGGTGGAGCCACAGAATTTCACGCTGTTTGCAGCGGGGAGGAGCCTGGTCCCTCCTCTTCCTGGGTGGAACCTGGAGTTCAATCTGCCAGGCAGGAAGCACTCTAGGAGGGACTCTGGCCTTGTGGAGAGTCCCTGTTTCCTTCTTTTTCTTTCACCCAATAAACCCTGCCCTCCTCACTCTTCAAATTGTCTGCCAGCCTAGTTTTTTGTGGCCTTGTGATAAGGACCCAGTCTTGAGCTCAACTAAGGAAAAAGTCGCACAACATTATTACCTGGTACAATGTCTGCCTTTCAAGAAAAATAAAAATAAAGCAGGCAAAAAGGCAAGTGAAACACAGTGTTAAGAATCAAAGGAAGAATCAGAACCAGACTCAGATACAACATAGATATTGGAGTTGTAAGATAGACAATATAAAATAACTGTGACTAAAATGTTAAGGATACTAAAGGGAAAAAAAGGTAACACAAAAGAACAGTGATGGAAGCACTAAAAAAAAAAAATTAAAAGAAAATACCAGAAATAAAAACTACTCTAAAAATCAAAACGAAGGCCCTTGACAGGCTTATCAGTATATGGACAAAGAAAGAATAAGCAAGCTTAGTGATAAGGCAATAAAAGCTTTCCATACTAGAATGCAAAGATTACAAAAAACTGATGAAACAGAAAAGGAAGAAAATTGTGGAACAGCTTCAAAAGGTGTGGCATATTCTTAATTGTAATAACAAAAGGGAAAAAAGGACAACAGAATACTTGAAGTGATAATGCTTGGAAACATTCAAAATTAATAACAGATAGCAAATCACAGTTTCAAGAAACACAGGAAACACCAAGTTGAAGAACTTAACAGGAAGCTCCTAGGCATATATGTTTGAACTGTAGAAAAGTAAAAAGAGAGAAAATCTTGAAAGAAATAAATACCAGAATAAAAACTGGTACCTTACCATGGAAAAAAGAATTAAAAACTACAGTCGTTTCTCATCAAAAACTGTGTAAGCAAGAAAAGAGTGTAATAAAATACTTAAAGTAATTTTTTAAAAAAACCCACAAACCTAAAAATCTATATTCAGTAAAATTTACTAAAATTTACTCTAGGTATGCAAATCTGTTTCAGCATTCTAATAATAATGTAGTCTACCATAAGAACAGAATGAGAAAAATAATCACATCATATGATTTTATCACTAGACCCAAAGAAAAACCCTCCCAGCAAACAAAAAATAGAAAGGAATAGTTGTTAAAGAACACTTACAAAACACTGTTCGTCACACAAATAACTATCATTATACTTAAAGATGAGAAACTGTATGCTTTCCCACCATCAAGAATAAGTCAAGAATGTCCTCTCTTGTCACTTATTCCACATTGTACTATTGGAATGTCTTAGCTTGTACAACAAAACAAGTGTAGAAAATATATATAGACTGGGAAGAAGTAAAATGACGGTATTTACTCACAGATGACATGTTCTCTATGTGGAAAATCCCAAAGAATTAACAAAATCCAAAAGAGTTGACAAAATAACTACTGGAACTAATGCATAAATATAGCAAGGTTGCAGAATAAAAGGAAAATAAATAAAAATAAATTGATGTTTTGTATATCAGCAATTAGTTATAGAAATAAGAACTGTAATAAAAAATACACCACTATTATAGCACCCAAAAACAGAATACTTAGATATAAATTTATTAAAACATATACAGGATCTATGTGGGGAAACTTCAAAAATCTTATGCAAGAAATCAAACCTCTAAATAAATGGAGAAAAATAAATAAATCAAGAAATAAATGAATGGAGTGTTACTCTGTGTCTATGAATTAGAAGACTCAATATTAATATGTCCATTTGTTGTCAGTGGCCTGATTCAATTTCTTGACTTCACTGGGAGTCCAAAGTCAGAGTAAAGAAGTTTATTGCAAAGCAAAAGTTTATTGCAAAGTCAAAATAAAGAAGTTTATTGCAAAGCAAAAGTACTCACTGAGAGGCAGAGTGGGCTGCTCAAAAAGCAAGACAGCCCCTAGTGTCTTAAGGGAAATTCCCTTTATGCAACCTGTACATACATATTCATAAAATACTGATGAGGTCAACTATGTAAAGGCGGGCCTGTGGTCGGTAAATGTGCTTAGTATCTACATGCTATAAAATGCATCACATGTATCATCAGCGTAGAAAATCTCCACCTAGGGAGCGTGTTTTTTTTACTGTCAAAATAAGGGAAAGGTTACTAAATTAAACCTTGAGCCTAGCTGCACATATGGGACTCCAGAGAAGCCCCTGTTGCCCCCTACCCAGGCAGGAATTTGTAGCTAATATCTCTTGGGCTTTTGGTGCTGATTGATGGGAGACTGGGGAAGTTACATCGGGAATAAGGGACGTTTTTTCTTTTTCCCAGGCTGTACTAGGTATCAGGAACATGTAACTATCTAGCAGTCTGTTGGTATCCTGTAGGACTGCTTACCTTGCAAAAGAATTAGGTGCTGATGCACAGGTGTGCAAGGGATGCAGCGCCCACTGGGCTTCATACAAAGGGACAAGCCAGTATAGGCTCCTAATCTTACTTATCGTGCCTCAAATTCTTCTTAACTTAATCTACATATTCAATGCACTCCATATTAGAACTCAGAAAATTGTTTGTATATATTGAAACACTAAAGTTTGTATGAAAAGCAAAAGACAGAATAGACAACAAAATACTAAAGAAGTAGTTTGAGGACACACCCTACATGATGACAAGACTTGCTGTAAAGTTACAGTAATTAAGACAACGTAGTATTAGCAAATAATAGAAACATAGATCCAGGTAACAATATAGAAATTCCATAAATCAACCATGCTAATATATTCAACTGACCTGTGGCAAGAGAGCAAAGTCAATTAAATGGAGAAAGAATAGTATTTTCAACAAATGGTGCTGGAATATTTGGTCTAACATATGCAAAAAAAATATGAATCTAAACACAAATTTTACATGTTTCTCTCCACACACACACAAAACTCAAAATGGATCATAGATCTAAATATGAAATACAAAACTATAGAACTCGGATATGATGACAGCACAAAATCTAGGTGATTGGTTTTGACAGTGAATGTTTAGATACATCTTCAATGTGCATTGCTAATTGAAAGGAACTGGTCTGGAAGAGCTACATATAATATAATTTCACTTTTTTCACATCCTGGAAAAATTTAAATTAGATAATAAAAAGATCAGTGTTTGCCAGGGTTTTAGGGGGGAGGAGGGAGGGATGAATAAATCTATCATGGTAGATTTTTAGGGCATTAAAACTGTCTTTATGAAACTATAATAGTAGATACATATCACTGTATATGAGAATTTGTTCAAATCCATAGTGTGTACAACACCAAGAGTGAACTCTAATGGGAATTACGGACTTCAGTTAATAACAACATATTAATATTAACTCGTCAAATGTAATAAATGCACCACACTAATGCAAGATACCAATAATAATGGGAACTGGAGAAAGGGGAGAAACCCCAGAGCAAGCTCTGTGTACCTTTTACTCAATTTTTCTGTAAGGCAAAAACAGCTAAAAAAAAATCTATTGATTTTTAAAATTGAACTATCAAGCCACAGAAAACATAGATGAATTTAAAATGCATATTGTGAAGTGAAAGAAGCCAGTCAGAAAAGGCTTCATATCATATGATTGTAATGATACCATACTCCAGCAAAGGCAAATCTATAGCAATGTTGAAAAGATCCGTGATTGACAAGGATTCAGGGGCAGAAGAAGAGTTTAATCGGTCTAGTAATACTAATTATCCATATAATGTTAATCTTTTCTCCTATTGATGGATGTCTGTATTTCCAGTTCTTGACAATTAAGAATAAGTATTATTTAGATTTTTAAGAGTCTTCTAAACTTATCAAACTTAGTGTGGTTTTTTACACTCCTACTAACAATTAGAGTTAATTTGCTTTACACTCAAATGGCATTTTGTGTTGTTAGTCTTTATTTGTAATTTTAGCCACTCTGGTGAATGTACTACACTGTATATTTAATGTGAAAAAATCTTTCTGATGACTTTTTCATGTTAATGGTGAAGTGTGTGTTAGAATACTTCCCTATTTCTTAAACAAAAAAGTTTATTTAAATGGAGTGTTATAATACTTCCCTATTTTAAAAAATTGTTGTTTTTAAATAGATTTGTGTTTTTAAAATATATGATCAATACCAGCATTTTGTCAGATATATATTTTTTGAATAGTTTCTGCTAGTTTTGACTTGCTTATTAATTTTCTTTTCTTTCTTTCTTTCTTTTTTTTTAGATGGGGTCTCGCTCTGTCCTGGAGTGCAATGGCACGATCTTGGCTCACTGCAACCTCCGCCTCCCAGGTTCAAGCAATTCTCCTGCCTCAGCCTCCCGAGTAGCTGGGACTACAGGCACACGCCAACACGCCAGGCTAATTTTTTGTATTTTTAATAGAGATGGAGTTTCACCATGTTCCCCAGGCTGGTCTTGAACTCCTGAGCTCAGGCAATCCACCTTCCTCTGCCTCCCAAAGTGCTAGGATTACAGGCATGAGCCACCGCGCCCGGTCTATTCATTTTCTTAACAGGGTATTTTGCTAAGAAGTTTTACATTTTGGTGAAGTCTAGTTTTTCCATTTTTTTATTATGGTTATTATTTCTTATGACTTCAGATTTCCTTCCCTTCACTTAATTAATGGAGGTATTGTAGTATGATTTCTTTTACCTTGTATTTTGAAATTTTACCTTTTACTCTGTGGTCCATCTTGAATTATCTTTTATGTATGATGTGAGGATGTGAGATTACTTTTCTTCATATGAAAATGCAATTTTTCCACCTTCCATTCTTGAAGAAATTAACTTTCCCCATTTGACTGTTTTGGTGTATTGGACAGTAAGTTTAAAAATATGTTTTAAAAAGTATTTGCCATGTTTAAAAAATTTTTAGAAAGAAAGGCCACATTCTTGTCTTTTTCCTTATCTTGGAGGAAAAGGCTTCAACTTTTCACATTGAGTATGATGTTAGCTGTTGGATTGTCATACATGGATTTTCTTGTTGGTGAACTTTTCTTCTATACCTAATTTGTAATTGATAATAATAATATATTGTTTATATCAAAACGGCTAAAAAAAGGATTTTAGATGCTCTCACCACAAAGAAATGATAGTATTTGGGTGTGATAAATATGTTAATTGACCATATTTGATTATTCCACAATGTACATGTAACAAAACACCACATTGTACCCCATAAATATATAAAATTATTATTTGCAATTAGAAATAAAATATAACTTAAAAAAGAAAATCCACAACTCCTTTCTATAATTTATGAATGTGTGTCAAAAGTCTTAAATTTGATTTTAAATATCTTGCTGTAACTGATCTTTACTGTCTATTCACAGGTCACTAGACATCCTGCTCCAGGTGTAATTATGCTATTAACACAAACAACAGCTGGCTCACATGTACTAAGCTCACGTGTACTAAGCTCACTTGTACTAAGCAGCTCATTGAGCCCACATGTACTAAGCAGCGTGATAAGTACTTGTATATGCAGTATGTCATATCCAGGCAACAATTTTAAGAGGTACATATTATGCCTACAAGAATAGGGACCATGACTGTTTTGTTCAACACTGTACACCAGTACCTAGAGAAGTGATTTGTATATGGTAGACATTCAATAAATCGTTATTGAATGAAAGAACTTCATTTCATGGAAAGAAGATTTCAAAAGTTTCAGTATCTTACATCAGGGATCCCTGACCCCGGGGCCACAGACTGGTACTGCTCTGTGGCCTGTTAGGAGCTGGCCTGCACAGCAGGAGGTAAGCAGCAGCCTAGCAAGAATTACTGCCTATCATATTAGTAGTGGCATTGTATTCTCATAGGAGTGTGAACCCTATTGTGAACTGCACCTGTGGGGGATCTAAGTTGTGTGCTCCTTATGCGAATCTAATGTCTGATGATCTGATCTGATCTGAGGTGGAACGGTTTCATCCCACCCCACACCCATCCACGGAAAGATTGTCTTCCACAAAACTGGTCCCTGGTACTGAAAAAGCTGGGGACTACTGTCTTACAGAATGTCACACAGCACATGATATCAGAAAATTAGTCCCAGATCTGTGTATAAAGCGTATAATTAAAATCACTATATGATTACTACCTCGTGAATTTTCTGTGCATGTTGTGCTTTCACTTATATTGCTTGATTACATATTCACTGAAAATTCTCTCTTATCACCATCAATGAAATCATTACATTTACTTCATGACTCACTAAAAGATGTAGGCTCTCTAAACATGTTCACAGATTCTTCCCATTTCATGTTAGTCTTTTTCTTCTTTTCCATCTCCTTCATGCATGTATCCATCAGAACCAGGCTGATAATTAATCAAATAAACAGGCAGTTTTCAACCCCGGTTGCGTACCAGAAATACTTGTGGAGAATTTTAAAGTACAGATATCGCATGCTCAACTGTAGATTTTCCTATTCAGAATATCCTGCTTTAGAGTCTCAGTCTGAAAGTTTTGCAAGTTCTCTAGGTGTAGTGGGTGCTGACATCTATGTGGCAGATCTAGGAATTCATTCCCTAAGCTGTCAGGAATGTTGATTGTCAATGGCTCACAGCTTAGACACTCTCAAAAAATCACCCTCTTTGAAAGTAAACTACCTCTCCCAAGATTGTACTTCTGTCCTGGAGGTAGCTTACTTCCAGTGATTATTGCATAGCTTACAAATACTCCACCCTTTGCTTCACCTGGAAACTCTGAAAGATCATTTCAGCTCCAGAATTCCCTGTATACAAAACAGGGAGTTGTAGTGGTTGCATTGCTATTGAACTTCTGCCACTGCCAACCCTGCTTCCTTCACTATTACAGGTGTTAATCACAAGAACACTTTTCAATAAACCTGCATGCAAATCTTAAATATATATTTTATATATGGATGTAGAGCTCTGGTTCTGAGACAAGATGGCCTAGACTTTCCATTTCCTTTTCTTTCCTGCTCAATAAAACCAAATGCCCTAGAAATAATTCAAAATGAAAGAAGAATTCTGAAGGGTGGAAAGAAAGGTGAAATGCCTAAGGACATCAGGACTTGAAGAACATAATCATGGTGAATTTTGTGCTTTTTTCTTTTTTTATCTTCCATATATCCTGGATGGAACATAACAGAGATCTGAAACCCAGAACTGCCAAGAGGTTAGCTCTGGGGAATAAGGTCGGGGGAAGGGGGGCGTGTAGTGGAGGGTAATGAGAATCTCAGCTGGGACTTAATGAGCAAACCCATACCTGATGGAGCAAGCTGCCTGAACTGCCTATTGCTGAGTCACCACCAGAGATCCAGGGGCCAACCCATCCCCTGCATCACACCAGTATGCAGCCGTGGGTGTGATGCAGGGGATGGGTCTACAGCCACAGTGGCAGCAGTAGAACTTTAGTGCAATGAAAATTAGTAGTGACAAAGAGGAGCATTACACAATGATAAATAGATTAGCCAACAAAAAAGGCATGATGATCCGAAATGTGTAAGCACAAAACAAGATAGCCTAAAATTAAATGAAATTAAAATGCATGGATCTGAATGGAGAAATAGACAAATCCACAAACATGTAATAGAATGTGGTTTCTTTGGAGGCTGATTGAAAAGTCTAAATTGACTGTGATGATGGTTGCATATATAATTGAATACACTAAAAACCATTAAATTATAAAATTTAAATGCATAAATTGTATGGCATGTAAATTACATCTTTTTATTTTTTTATTTTTAATTTTTGTGGGTACATAGTAGGTGTATATATTTATGGAGTACATGAGATATTTTGATAAAGACACCCCGTCATGCAAAATGGGGTATCCATCCCCTCAAGCAGTTATCCTTTGTGTTACAAACAGTCCAATTATACTTTTTTAGTTATTGTAAAATGTACAATTAAATTATTATTGATGATAGTCACTGTTGTGGTATCAAATACTAAATACTATTCACATTTTCTAACTATTTTTGTATCCATTATCCATGTGATTTATGTGTTAATAAAGCCATTTAAAATACTTTAAGAACCAGATGGAAAGAGATATATTTACTTTGTACATTATAGATTAATACAATGAATCTACACAACACTTGAATGTAATATCTGGGGGCTATTTTTTTCTTCCTGTTTTATCAACTGCTATGTCTTCAGAACCTGTACGCAAAAGGTGCTCAATAAAGATCTGTTACTGTTTGTTTTTTAACTGTTGGTTCAAATATGTCAGTACACATTATTTAACTAGACAAATTCCCATAGAATCAGAGGTTTTCTTTCTCTATAGTCTTTCTCTCTGTATATCCCTACAATTGGGTTAGGAGAAAAGAAAGAAGGAAGGAAGTCTGGTCATTTGTGTTTCCTCATTGAAGGATGTATTCTTTTTTGATACAAACTTGTGCTTAGTAAAAATAGTCAATTTCACAATCAAGATTGCAGACATCCAAAATATGATTGTAACAGACACTATTTGTTTCCACTGAATATATATTCCCCATATTTTTCTTTGTCACAAATCCCCACTTCTGCTCAGGTATTAGATGACATTGGGTTCCTTCCCATTTCAGGAATAAATTGTGATTAGTGCAATCTTATTATGGTATTTTATTCCTATAGTAGACAGTGTTCTCCAGAAAAAAAATAGAACCAATAGAATGTGTGTGTGGGTTCAGGGGAGGGGAGAGAGTTTACTTTAAGAAAGTGGCCGCAAAACTGTGGAGGCTGGCAAGTCCCAGCTCTGCTGGTAGACCAGCAAGCAGGCTAGACTCATGGAATAGTCTATGTTTCAGCCCCAGTACTAAGGAGGTCAGTGGGCAGATTCCCTTTTTCTCAGAGAAGATCAGTCTTTTTCTTAAATCCTGGAAATGATTGCATGGGGCCCACCCACATTATAGAGGGCATTCTGCTTTATTCAAAGTCTGCTAACTTAAATATTAATCTCACCAAAATATACCTTCACAGAAACATCCTAATATGTTTCACCAAATACATTGGTACATAGCCTATCCAAATTGACACATAAAATTAACCATCACAAGTCTACCTTTTGTCAATTTGGCACTCATATACATATCAAACTATAATCTCAAAATACACAAAATTACAAAGTTATACTTCTGCTTAACATGATACATTTTACTACATACAACTAAAAATGCACTAACATTTTCTCCAGAAAAGGATGCAAAATCTTTGTTTAATATTCACTTTTCTTCTTGATATTCTAGAATTTAATTACTATAATATACAGTTAAAAATGCTTAAATATTATGCTGTTAAATAAAAATACCTTATATTATATAAAAAAAGGATTAGATATAGAAGAAAAATGATATTTACTGAACATTATATAGATAGTTGAATGTATATATGTATATATATTTCTACTCATATATATACATATAAATATGTTTGCAGCAAAATAAGAAAAACTATTTATGACAATTACATCCTCATTTCTGTAACTCATCATACAGTCATGGAATATACAGGCAGTCTCCAACTTACAATTGTTTTGCTGGCAATTTTTCGACTTGATGATGATGTGAGAGTGATACACATTCAGTAAAAATCATACTTTAAATTTTGAAATTTGATCTTTTCCCAAGCTGGCAATATGTTGTATGATACTGTCTCATAATACTGTTCTGAGCATTTTTAAGGTAGGCTAAGCTAAGCTATGCTGTATGATAGGTTATGTGTATTAAATGCATTTTTCATTTACAATATTTTCAACTTATAATGGATTTATCAGGATGTAACCCCATTATAAGTCAAGGAGCATTTCTATTTACAACTACAATCTCCTACTACCAATTTAACATTTCCTTTGCCTTCAGCAAACACCTCAGTTGTTGGTCATGGGTATTTACCTGGTGGGGTAAACAAAACTTCATTTCAGGAATGTCTGCTTTATTAGCAGTTTTGTCTGAATTGGGTTGTTGCAGTTTTCCATTCACTTTAAACATAGCAAATGGTGACACTAAGAGATACTCCAAGGGATCTCCTGTATTTCAGACTCCTGTATTCTTATGGTATTGTTAAGTAGCAGTTTAATTTCCCCTTGGTAATCAGGATCAATCACCTCAACCAGCACAATAACTCACTTATTTGTCTATTGATTCAATGGGATAAGTATCTCAAAGTAGCCAGGTAGTATTCTTAACTTCAAGTACAATGTAATCATTATTGTGCCTCCTGGCAGAAGTATTTTCCCTTTGGAAATAAGACTTTTAGGCCAGCAGAGCATAAGGTCACGGCAACAGGAAGCAAAGTGGATCATTAGGGGTAATAGCTAATCGTGCCACTACCAATTCCACTCCTTGAATGCTGGACACAGAAATCCTAGCTATGGGAGAAACAGCACCAAATTAGATGCTGATTCAGAGCATAAACATTGTCCTGAAGAATCTTACCCCAGCCTTTCAAGATAGTAACCCTAGTTGGCATAGTAACTGAGTCATCAAAAGGCCATTCCACTGTTCTATTAAGCCTGCTGCTTTATAATGGTGAGAAACATAGTAAGACCAATAAATTCCATAAGCATAGGCCCATTGCCACACCTTATTTGCTGTGAAGTAGGTTTCTTGATACAAAGCAATAAGTATGGAATACATGGTAAGGCATTCTGTGAGTCCACAGATGGTAGTTTTAGCAGAAGCATTGCACATGTGGGAAAGGAACATCCATTTCCAGAATGAGTTTAAGTTCCAGCAAGGAAAAAAGAAGAAAAAAAAAAAAAAAAACACTGAGAGTCCATGGCATATTGTGGCAATAAAAATACACAAAATATCACAATTGGATACTCCCAATCAAATACTTATAAGAGGCAAGATTTTGAATGACTATGTATTTGGTATTTTAGAACATTCTTAACAAACCAATGAATATAAGGAAACAGGCTGGTTACTCCTAATCTTGCTGAACAAAGTGGAGAAAACAGAGCATAAGCTCAGGTATTTATGTGTCAGCCTGTGTGTGACATAAATGACCGGAAAGTTTCCATGTCTGCCCTGAAATAAACCCTTATTGTTTGTACCCTCAGAGATGAGATTGCTGAAAAACAAACCAAGAGTTTCATTTGGTAAGTGGCTGAATCACAACCCAAACTGAATTTCAAACCTCAGAAAATGTCTGCTGTTAAAGTGAGATCATTGATTGGAAAGAAATGGAATCCTGAAACTTGAAATGGGATATCAGGGCAGACTGTGATGAACCTAAGGATGCTGAGTCCTTAAATTTTCATGAGTCTTCTCTGTAAGTAGAGAAGCCTCTGCAACCCCATCTAAGGAGATTAATCCTACACTGCCTAAGGAAACTGTAATGGCTCCCCTAAGGTAACTGCCTTGCAAGATACTGCTTCTTCTCATGATCCACCCTCAACACTACTCTTTACTTCTATACCTATAACTAGACTCAAGTCCCAGAAGGGACTGAAAGGTGAAATACAAAGTGTGATTCATGAGGTGTGTTACACTTCAAAAGAACTACATTTTTTTTTTCCAATTTACACATGTGAGATCATGGTGGAAGAAAGTTAAAGTTGGATTAGGCTAAATTTATTGATATGAGCCCACTAAACAGAGATTCTCAAATTAAGGTTGTAGCCCAGGAATTTATAAAGGGCTTCAGTAGTTGATTTGGTTGGCTGTCTGAAACATGGACCAAAAGGTGGCCCTCAGCAAATGAAGGAGAGATGTCAAAACTTTTTTTTTGGTATGCTGTCGGTGAAGGAACTAAAGCACTTAGAGAGATTGGAATGTAAGAGTGCATTTGTCTTTTAAGACCTGCTCATCCATGTCAGTAGGGTCCAAATAACAAATCTTTTACCATGAGAAAAAAAAAAATGTTAGGGGAGCTTTAGCATCCTTGAACACCTCTATGGTCATTCTTCTCTGTGAGTCAGAACTTACACTGGAAACTACTGCCACCAAATTGGGAAATCTAAATGCAATAAGGGAAATTGGATCTTAAGGTGGCAGGGGTCAAGTGGCAGCACTCAATTCCCCCCGAAAAAGTGGACATGGTTACTATAATGGACATCAGAGTCAAAGAAGTAATCAGAATAATCTGACTTGAAGAGACCTATGGTGTTGGGTATTTAATCACAGTGTTTCTAAATGTGAAATTGATAGGAAACCTACTAAATTCTTACTTTATCTGTATAAATAGAAAATGTTTAGGTAAAGTCAACAAACATCTAGCCTGAATCGTAAAAAGAGATAGTAGTTGTGACCTCTTAATCAATTCCCAGACATGAAGCCAGTTTACAGACCCAGAACCCCTTTAATGAAAGAAAGACTGGGTCCACTTGAGAAAAGAGTCTGTTACATTGCCAAAAATTTACACAGTTAATCTTACTACAAGCATTCTTCCAAGAGATTTATGTCCTTTCACTATGATGTCTGTGCAGTGAGAAAAACGACATAATCAGAAACTTTCAGGAATTACTGCATACTGGCTCTGAACTGACACTAATAACATCACTCTGTTGCACCAAAGTAAGAACTTATAGAGGTCAGATGATCAATGTTTTAGCTCTGGTCCACCTTCAGGGTCTAGAGGGTGCCCCAAATCATTCTGTGCTTAATTCCCTAGTTTCATAATCTATAATTGGTATAGATAATCTCAGGAACTGGCACAGTCCCCACATGGGTTCCCTGACTTGTGGAATGAAGGTCATTATGGTAGGAAAGGTCAGGTGGGAGCCAGTATGTATTAGTACATTCTCACACTGCTATAAAGATACTACCCAAGATTGGGTAATTTATGAAGGAAAGAGGCTTAATTGACTCACAGTTCTCCATGGCTGGGGAGGCCTCGGGAAATTTACAATCATGGCAGAAGGTGAACGGGAAGCAAGGACCGTCTTCACATGGTAGCAAGAGAGAGAAGAGTGAGCAAGGGAAATGCCAGATGCTTATAAAACCATCAGATCTCATGAGAACTCACTCACTATCATGAGAACAGTATGAGGGAAACCGCCCCCATGATCCAGTCACCTCCCTCCGTTGACATGTGGGGATTACAATTCCAGATGATATTTGGGTGGGGACACAGAGCCAATCCATATCACATACCTGGAAGAATAGAAAACAAAAAGAGAGGCCGGGCGCAGTGGCTCACGCCTGTAATCCCAGCACTTTGGGAGGCCGAGGCGGGCGGATCACGAGGTCAGGAGATTGAGACCCTCCTGGCTAACATGGTGAAACCCCGTCTCTACTAAAAATACAAACAATTAGCTGGGCGTGGTTGCAGGCTCCTGTAGTCCCAGCTACTCTGGAGGCTGAGGCAGCAGAATGGCCTGAACCCGGGAGGCGGAGCTTGGAGTGAGCCGAGATGCGCCGCTGCACTCCAGCCTGGGCGACAGAGTGAGACTCCGTTAAAAAAAAAAAAAAGAAAAGAAAAGAAAAAAAAAAAAAAAGAAATGACATATTCCTGGATGGACCGCAGTGACTAGCATCACCACAGTGGACATTAAGGATGCAGGAGCAGTGATAATCAGCATATCTCTATTCAGGTCACCTACTTGGTATGTACAGAAAACAAATTTTGGACGATTGCCATAGATTATCATACTCTTAACCTGGTGGTGGCTCCAACTGCAGCTGCTGTACCAATGTGAAAATCCACATATCCTCTGGTACCTGGTATGGAGCTGTTGATCTGGAAAATGTTTTTATCTCTTTACCTTTTAGTAAGAGCCATGAGAAGCAGCTTAATTTCAGCTTGTATGACCAACAATAAAACTTCACTGTCCTAACTCAGGGGGTATATTAGCTATTCTGTCTTATGTCATAATTTTTCAGAGATTTTGATCACCTTTTTCTTCTATAAGAAGTCACACTGGTCAAATACACTAGTATCATTATGCTGATTGGATCTATAGAACAAGAGGTAGCGATAATTCTAGAATAAATGGTAAGATATTGGTGAGAGAGTAGAAAATAAATCTCAATACACATCAGAGACCTTTATCAGAGCGAAATAGCTATAGTACTGTGGTTGTGTCATGTAAATATATCCCTTATAAGCTGAAGAATAAGTTTTTGCATGAGACCCCTCCCACAACCAAAAAAGTTGCACAATGCTTAGTGAACCTTTTTGAATTTTAAAGGCAACATATTCCTCATTCGTGTATGCTATCTTGGCCTATTTATTGAGTAACCCAAAAAGCTGTCAGTTTTGAGTAGAGCTCAGAACAAGAGAAGACTCTGCAGCAGGTGCAGGATGCTGTGCATGCTGCTCTGTCACTTGAGCTATATGATGCAGCAAATAAAATGGAGCTTGAAATGTTCATGTCAGATAGGGATGCTGTTTGGAGCCTTTGGTAGGACCTTATAGATAAATCACAGTGCAGGGCCTCAGGAATTTGTAGGAAACTCTGCTATTCTCTGCAGATAACTACTTTTCTTTTGAGAGACAGCCTTTGACTCACTATTGGGCCATGGCAAAGACTGAATGCTTAACCACAGGCCACCAAGTTACCATGTAACTGAAGCTGCCCATAACTAACTAGATAGTCTCTGAAATACCAAGCCATAAAGTTAAGGAAGTATAGCAGCACTTCATTATGAAATGAAAGCAATAACTCCAGACTGAGCTTCAGCAGGCTCTAAATGCAAAGATGTGTTATATGAAGCAGTGACCTAAATGCCTATGGTCCCCACTCCTGCAGCATTGCCTTCTCTCTCCCAATCTGCCCCTATGGCCTATTTGGAAGTTTCCTATGAAACTTCCTAAAATTTCCTAAAGAAATTCTCTAACCTAGCTTGTTTGATTTTAGGTTATAAGAACCCCATTCTAGAAAGAGTCCTGCTCCATGTATGGGAGGAAGGAATGTTGCACAGAGAGGCGATGAAAAAGCTGGACAGGCCTTTCTGGGTTTCATTCCTCAGTCTTTTAGTATTAGATAATATTCTTCTTGTCCAGTCGACACAGTTGTCATTTCTTTATTGAAACTAAGCATAAAATGAATAGCTTCTCCTGTGTGTTTTCTTCATTCTTATGCCTCCTGTGTCATGTAAACTAAGATCATATGATTGTGTTATGCTTTCCTCTTGTTAACCTGTCTTTGTTATAGGGATGCAGGCCATGACCCTTATGACAAAAAGGAAAGGAATCATCCCCTTTCCACTTCTACAGCTCTGATGATGATGATGAGATGGTTAGGAACCTGATTGCTCAGAAACCTGAAAATTATATTCTGATACAACTGACAAAAATACGGTAAAGAAAGGTAAGAAGTTCTACCAGGGTCTGTTCTGGATCTCTGCCTGTAGTGCCCAGTTTAGAAGAGAAGGTATAATTGTCTCTTTATTCCTTCCTTTCCAAATTTAGATTAGCAGGAGAAAATCATTTGTTTGTATTGTGACTCTTCTGTACATTTAGTTTTGGGGTACCCATTTGTTATTGATCCATTCTCTTCCATGAACAGCTATTGCACTCCTATTTGTCTCATTTTGTGTCCTAAGAACTTGTTTTGGCTTGTTGTTCCTCAGGAGCATGCAGATTGTTGGGTCTGTTGTGTCCAAGCAACCAATCAAAAGGTTGGTGGCCCTCATTAAAAGAATATGGCCCTACAGAATACGAGTTGTATTTCATTTTGAGCTAGCATATTGTCTACTGCCAGCTCTCAAGGAGTTAATTAAGCCTTTTCTTTTCTTTTAATTGTCTTTGGAAGTGGCTCTGGACCTTGTAAGGCCTGCTTCTTGCTCCTCTTTGGAGACACCTTGTGCATGCTTGGTTAAGACATAAACATGTTACTGGTTCTGTATCTGACTCACTTTGTAGAAAACTTCAGTTTAGAAAAGGGGGCCAGGCGTGGTGGCTCACACCTGTAATCCCAGCACTTTGGGAGGCCGAGGTGGGCAGATCACCTGAGGTCAGGAGTTTGAGACAAGCCTGGCCAACATGGTGAAACCTCGTCTCTATAAAAATACAAAAAAATTAGCCTGGCGTGTTATTGTATGCCTGTAGTCCCAGGTACTCGGGAGGCTGAGGTGGGATAATCCCTTGAACCAGGGAGGCGGAGGTTTCAATGAGCTGAGATTGTGCCACTGCACTCTAGCCTGGGTGATACACCGAGATTCCATCTCAAATAAAAAATAAAAATAAAAAAAAAAAAGGAAAACTAGTTTGAAAACCAGAAATATTAGATGTTTCTCCTAGCTGAAATCTGTTAAGAGATTTTAAAAATATTTTTTCAAAAAGATCTCTATGGTCAAAGGTCAGCTTAATTAAAAGCTGATGTTCAGGTTATACTTTAAAAAAAAAAAAAAGGCCTTTCTCTTTTTCTCTGGTTTTGAATTATATTTCTTCCATGGGAACTTCTAAGTCCACTGAACCCCTTATTCTTGAAGCTTTGCTAACTAGAACTTTATTGGCCTTTATAGAAAACTTGAAATTTCCCTAACCTGGCTCCTCTAAGACTAATTCAATATGTTTCTCCCCCTTTTTTCCTTTTGCTGGCTTTTTTCAGCCCATGCTTTCTCCATTTGGTGGTTAATGAATAAGAATTACTAAGGCAAAACCTTAGAGTTCTGGCTACCATATGGAGGGAACTAAAGTAAGACTTGTAGCATCTTTGAGATCATTTGAGGAACACAAAATGGACACCACTAAACCCTTTTTAGAGATCCTCTCTTTCTCCTGGAGTCCCAAGTGTCATGGATGGGTTCCTCTAAAGTGTAAAGCTCTTTTGTCTTCTGCCTTGAGTTCCGTGATCTCTGGCTTTTGGGAGTACAAAGGGTTATTTTATAGTGTGAGAGAACACTAGAACTTTGAGTTTACAGTCATTAAAAAGTCACTGTCAAGAGCTGCAATTTTCAAGGTAACTGACAGTGGTGGCAAAAAATGGTTGTTACAGGGAAAATCTCTGGCTTCCTGTCCTCTTAGTTTCTTCACATGCTTAGATTAAAAAAAAACAGTCTCAGATGTCTGATCAAGTCAGATAGAAATTGGCAGTAAATAGCAATGATATCTGAATTTTCTCGTATGCTAATTTGTCTAATTATTTGTAAAATCCTGTATTACATTCCTATGATTTTTTTTTTGCTACCATTTTTTTAAATTATCCTGTGTCTCATCTGTCTCATCTAACTGAAACACTTGAACTTAATTCTCCCACTCACCTGGCCCTTTATCAGGGCTTTCCTAGAGAGTGGCTAGCTTTTTTTCTAAAATTTTTGTGGGTATATAGTAGGTGTACAGATTTATGGGGTACATGATATATTTTGATACAGGCATACAATGTGAAATAAGCACATCTTGGAGAATGGGGTATCCATTCCCACAGCATTTATCCATTGAGTTGCAAACAATCCAATTACACTCTTGATAAATCTGCCAGGCCAGGGCTGGAGTTTATAACCACCTTCCAGAGAAAAACCTGAAGACCAAATTAGAAAAAAATGCAACAAATTCACCCAGATGAATTTTGGAAACATTCAAACCTAAAATCTAGTCCACAGCCTACATACATTTATTTTAATAGTAGACGATATATCTTACAGTCTTTTTTGAAGATAAAATTAAAAAAAAAACTAATGCAAATGCATCTTAGTTTAAGTGATCTGAGATAACCTTTGGTAAATAAAGCTAGATTTAAAACTCTGAACTAAAAGTAAAAATGTCTTCAGAAGTGTCAGAATTTATTATTATACAAGCATACTTTTTTAAACCTAGAGTTCCTATTCAAGCAAGCTTGTTACCTCCTGGATATTTAAAGGAGAGGAAAAAACCAGGTTTAAATTTTAGCTTTTCGTTATCTCTGCTTTTATAATATTGTTGATGCATTCTTGATTTGTCTGAGGAGGAGGAACCTGAGGAGGCTGGATGCTGGCCTCCCAGAAAACATACATCTTGTTGTGAGCTTATGTACTTAATTTTGAGCCTCTGTATTCTGGGATCTAGACAGATCGCCATTGTAAATCCTGGGGACGTGAGTGTGCTTAAAGCACCTGGGCCACCAGCTGCAGGGCAGAATCTAGCCCGGTATGACCACATCCTGCCTCCAGTGATTCACATGCATGAGTTAGGATGAGACTGGCTGATTTAGAGTTAACTTTGCTTTGCTTTTTCAAAAGAAAATAACTTTTAAAAAGCTACCTCTGTGTTCTATGAGCAATTAAAATATAATTGTTAAAAATAAGGAATTTATTTTATTTTATTTTTCAAGATGGCACATTAGAAGCATTGCTAGCATACCTCTCTCAATTGAAAGGACAAAGTAGTGCATAGAGAATCATATTGTGAACGTTTTCAAGAAGCAATGCAGGTACTGAACAGGAACTCAAGGACCTTTTGAAAGGTCTGTAGATACCACCTTACTCCTGCGGGAACGCTCATTATTAAATAGCAAAAAAAAAAAAACAAAAAAAAAAACATCTGTATTGGCGTGGATGTAGGGGAAAGGGAATGCTTATACATTGCTGGTGGGAATGTAAATTAGAACAAGCTCTATGGAAAACAATATGAAGATTCCCTAAAGAGCTAAAACTAGACCTACTATACAACTGAGCAATCTCACAACTGGGTATCTACCCAAGGGAAAAAAAGTCATTATATGAAAAAGAAACTTGCACATGTATGTTTATAACAGCACAGTTTACAATTGCAAAGATGTGGAACCAACCTAAGTGCCCATTGACTAATGAGTGGATGAAGAAAATGTGGTATATATACTTAGATTCCTACTTAGCCATTAAAAGGAAGAGAATAATGTCCTTTGCAGCAACTTCGATGGAGCTGGAGGCCATTATTCTAAGTGAAGTAACACGGGGGTGGTAAGCCGAAAACTATATGTTCTCACTCATAATTGGGAGCTAAGCTATCAATAATGCAAAGGCATACAGAGTGATATAATGGACTTTAGAGACTCAGAAGGGGGAGGGTAGGAGGGGAGCTAGGGATAAAAACACTACACATTAGTTACAATGTGCACTACTTGAGTTATGGGTGCACCAAAATCTTAGAATTCACCACTGTAGGGAACTGAACAATGAGAACACTTGGACACAGGGTGGGGAACAGCACACACCAGGGCCTGTAATGGGGTTGGGGGAGGGGGGAGGGATAGCATTAGGAGATATACCTAATGTAAATGATGAGTTAACAGGTACATGTATACATATGTAACATGGCACATGTATACATATGGCACATGGCACATGTATACATATGTAACAAACCTGGCACACATATACATGGCACATGTATACACATGTAACAAACCTGCACATTGTGCACATGTACCATAGAACTTAAAGCATAATAAAAAAAAGAATTTACCACTGTATAACTCATCCATGTAACAGAAGACCACTTGTACCCCAAAATATATTAAAATAAAATGAAAATTAACAAAACAAATTGTACCAGGCAAACAATAAAAAAAAGCAAATATAAACAAACATTTATATATTTATAAGTGAAATTTGTCAGTTTCAAGAATCTTTTCAGTTATTTAAAATCTAAAAGTCATGTTATGTTACATTAAGTAGTAGATAATCATAAAATATCTGAGGAACTATTTTGTTTGTTTGTTTTTGGTTTCCACAGAAATTCATCTTAATAAATATTTAATTACTGAAATCATGTAGAGGTCTGACTTGTCTGGAAGCTCATCTACAACAACACTTCCTGAAATGAGACATAACTGTTAACTGTTTAATTGGACTGGCCTATTTGGGGATTAAGAGGCAGAGACAATGGCTTATGAGACAACCCACCAACCCAATTTCTAGACTTCGAATCTTTTTGTGGAAGTTTCAGATTGGAGAACATTGAGGCTCATAAAACAATACCCCCAAATTAAGATCTCAGAAGCATAGGTTTTCTCTGTCCTTCTCCTGCACTCCTGTCTGTTACCCCCTCATTTTCCCCCAAGGGAAGCCATAGAAACTAAAATCCCTTTTCTCCAAGATGGGTCATAGAAACTAGAACTCCTTTTCCACATGAGACAGTTAACACTGTGTTTCCTTTCTGGAAGAGATGTTGTAGATGGGCTTCCACAAAAGTAAGGCCTCTATATGATTTCAGCATTCAAATATTTAATGAGGCATTTCTATGGAAATATAATAAACAAAGATAAATTAGGTAATAGTCATAAAACCTAAAAATGATTACCCTAACTTTCCTCTTCTTTCTGTGAAAGTATTTAGGGGTGGCAAATATCCAAGTCTCCCAACACCAGATATGTTACTGGTGGCAAATATCTGAGTCTCATGGCACCAAATATGTTAGGGGTGGAAGGTATTGGAGTTAAGGGTGGTGAATCCGTACAGGTCTGCAGCAACCTCAATTCTTGCCTCCTCAGAAGAAAGAATTCAACTGAGAGGCATAAGGCAGAAAAAGAGACCAAGGCAAGTTTCAGAGCAGTAGTGGAATTTTATTTAAAAAGGCTTTTGAACAGGAAAGAAAGGAAAGTACGCTTGGAATAGACATAAGAGGGCATGTGAAGGTCAAGTGCCATCTTTAACCCTGATCCTAGAACTTTATAGACTGGCCCCTTTCCCGTGATTCTTCCCTTAGAGTGGGCTTCCTGTACATGCAGTACCCTTCTTACCCTTGGGAGGTGAGTACACGCAGTATTTTTAGGAAGTTGTATGCGTGCTCATCTGAGACTTTCTTCCCTTTTCTGGTGGAGTGTCCTCGGAAGGTCATACTCTGCCATTTTGTCTCTTAATGCACATGCCCAGGAAGTTGCATCTCTCTGGCACCTACAATTAACACTTTAGTGCAACAGGTGTGGACCATAAAAAAAATGACCTCTCCCTGACACCGGCTGTCAATTTATCACTTTTACAATGTGATAATTGCTGAACAATTACCCAACATTCCTAATGGGTGGAGAAAGAGCCCTCTCCTGGACCACTCCTCCTAACTGCCATAAAGAACTTATCTGACCTACTTTGTTTGATAGTAGGTCATAAGACCCCCTTTTAAAAGAGGGTCCTTACCTATATCCAGAAGGAAGAAATGCTGCACAGAGAGGCTAGGACAAATACGAACAGACGGGCTTTGCTGTTTCCCGACTCAGTCTATTAGCATTAGCTATTATACTCTCTTTTCAGTCATGGCTCTGCACAGTTGACCATTTTTTATTAAACCTAAGCATAATAATGGACACCTTCACCCATATCTTTGGGTCTTTATTCTGAAGGTTCTCATGTAACATAAAACTGTGATTCAATATAATTATTTTGCTTCTCTCTTGTTAAACTGTCTTTGTTTTAAGGGTGTCAGCTGTGACCCTTATGGGGAGGAAAGAAATCACCCATTTTGCACCCCCACAGGAAATTAGTTAACATATTATTTATTAATTTTTTGCTAAAATATATCTTATCAAATAACAGCTAGAGTGCAATTTAGCAGAAATGATGTTGGCATTACACAAATACAGAACATTTTTTATACACCTCTATATTTTGTGGGCTCAGAAACTGATATCCCAGAATATGGTGTTTTAATGTGCTGAACTTAAGAAGCCTCAAGTCTCGCTGACCTCTCCTCCACCACAGCCTCTCCCAAAGCATGGGACAAAGTTGTTATTTGAAGCTCCTCTATCGGCCCAAAGTCCAGACCCACCAGGGAGAACAATTGTTGTTGTTTTTCTCTTCCCTATTATATAATTATTTATTGCCGAAAAGAAGACCAAGAATTTAACCACACAAGAACAGACTCTTATATAAGATAATGTCTGTCTCTCAAATGTATTCAAATTCCAAAGAGAACTATTTACCAGTTAATCTGTTCCCCATCCATTTATTCTTCCTGTTATTCAATTATTGCCCCTCACCATAATTCTTCTTCCTCCCTTTCAAAATCTGTTTTGCCAGGATCTGAGTCCCATTCTTTCTGTAACATCAAGCTGGTGTATAAGCTTCTTTGCCTTATTGGGGGGTTGGATCTTTGTTTCCTGTATAAACATTGAATAAATTTGTATGCCTTTTCTCTTATTAATCAACGTGTCTCATGTCAGTGATTTTCAGCAAACCTTAAGAGGGCAAAGAGGAATTGTCCCCTTGGCTACCCTACAATATCTATTACCTGTATCTTTCTTAAAATTGTATGTTAGCCATTTTTACTGCTTTTGAAAATGTTTTTTAAAAGAGAAAATAGTGTTTTGCAAAAGTTAGCAGACAATTTTATTGAAGTCCCTAGTGTCTAATTTTTAAGTGATTATTTGCATAACATATATTTTATCAAATGTGTTGCATTATGTTAATGGCATTTTGATTGTTAGTATTAATTTATGTGATAAATATTTCCTACATTAAAAAATTTAATACCAATAAATAAATTGCCTTCTTTCATTCAGAGCACATATGGCTCTTTCAATGGGGCAAAGAGGTATCCAACTGCTACTGACTTTAAGCAGATCAAAAATTCTTTTCAGGTTGAGCAGGACACAAATTAGTCACAATCAATCACATTATCTGTTCTCTTACACCTTCCAATTCCACTCTGAATAGTATCCACAGGAAAGAATTAGTAGGAAATTAAATTATAATCATGTATTCTGGAGAATGCATAGAAAGTATTAAAGGACTGTGTAGAAGAAATTTGAATAGAACATAAAGGCATTAGATTCGTGTGAAAAGAACACAGCAGCATATGTGCCTTGTGATATAATGTCAGACAAATTTCTTTCATATAATTAGCGAACCCTGGTGTTGCAGAACTTTGCTTCTTAGTTCAGCTAAAACCAAGTTCTTGTGACACGACCAGGAAGTTAGGCATGCAGGCACATTGAAGGGTGAGGGGAATGGAATTTATTGGGCAAAAAGGAAAAAAAAAAAAAAACAAAAGACCTCTCAACAAAGCGAGAGGAGTTCCTGCTAACAGGCTGCCACCTCACAGGTTGATTTTAGGCCACACACAGTAACTGAAGAGGCCAGGCTCCTCCCCTGTGTAAACAGCACAAACTTCCCATGGCTCCACCCTGTTCTCCCAGTGCACAGGCCGGTAGGAGATTGTCGGGAGACCCTCTCCCTTATCTGCTTCCTGCATCTATCACTGGCTTACTATGTACATGAATATAAGACAGAAATTTTAATGTAACAACTATGAAGCAAAAAAAAAAATAAATTACACAGTTTTACAGCCTGTTAATGAAATTCCATTTTCATTGTTAGGGGTGGTGTGCATTTTTAGAATTATAATATTTAATAGCATAGGTGTATTAGTCCATTTTCACGCTGATCATAAAGATATACCCAAGACTGGGCAATTTACAAAAGAAAGAGATTTAACGCACTTACAGTTCCACTTGGCTAGGGAGGCCTCACAATCACAACAGAAGATGAAAGACATGTCTGACAAGGAGGCAGACAAGAAAAGAGCACTTGTGCGGGGAAATCCCCGTTTTTAAAACCAGCAGATCTCATGAGACTTATTCACCATCATGAGAACAGCATGGGAAAGAACCACCCCCGTGATTGAATCACATCCCACCAGGTCCATATCACAATATGTGGAAATTCAAGATGAGATTTGAATGGCGACACAGCCAAACCGTATCATTCCACCCCAGCCTCTCCCAAATCTCATGTCCTCACATTTCAAAACCAATCATGCCTTCCCAACAGTCCCCCAAGTCTTAACTCATTTTAGCATTAACTCAAAGGTCCACAGTCCAACATCTCATCTGAGACAAAGCAAGTCCTTTCTGCCCATGAGCCTGTAAAATCAAAAGCAAGTTAGTTACTTCCTAGATACAATGTGGGTATAGGGATTGGGTAAATACAGCCATTCCAAATGGCAGAAATTGGCCAAAACAAAGGGGCTACAGACCCCATGCAAGTCGGAAATCCAGCAGGGCAGTCAAACCTTAAAGCTCCAAAATGGTCTCCTTTGACTCTATGTCTCACACCCAGGTCACGCTGATGCAAGTGGTGGGTTCCCGAGGTCTTGGGTAGCTCCACCCCTGTGGCTTTGTAGGGTACAGCCTCCTTTCTGGCTGCTTTCACAGGTTGGCATTGAGTGTCTGTGGCTTTTACAGGCGCACGGTGCAAACTGTCAGTGGATCTATCATTCTGGGTTTTGGAGGACGGTGGCCCTCTTCTCACAGCTCCAGTAGGTGGTGTCTCAGTAGAAACTCTATGTGGGGGCTCAGACCCCACATTTTCTTTCCTCACTGCCCCAGCAGAGGTTCTCTATGAGAGTCCTGCCCCTGCAGAAAACTTCTGCCTGGGCATCCAGGCATTTCCATTCATCTTCTGAAATCTAGGCAGAGGTTCCCAAACCTCAATTCTTGACTTCTGTGCATTTGCACACTCAACACCATGTGGAAGCTGCCAAGGCTTTGGAATTGCGTCCTCTGAAGCCACGGCCTGAGCTATATGTTGGCCCCTTTCAGCCACAGCTGGAGTGGCTGGGATGCAGGGCACTAAGTCCCTAGGCTGCACACAGCACAGGGACCCTTGGCTCAGCTCGCAAAACTGCTTTTTCCTCCTAGACCTCTAGGCTTGTTATGGGAGGGGCTGCCATGAAGACCTCTGACATGCCCTGGAGACATTTTCCCAGTTGTCTTGGGGAATAACATTAGGCTCCTTGTTACTGATGCAAAGTTCTGCGGCCGGCTTGGATTTCTCCTCAGAAAATGGGATTTTATTTTCTATCGCATTCTCAGGCTGCAAATTTTCTGAACTTTTATGCTCTGCTTCCTTTTTAAAACTGAATGATTTTAACAGCGCCCAAGTCACCTCTTAAATGCTTTGCTGCTTAGAAATTTCTTCCGCCAGATACCCTAAATAATCTCTCTCAGAGTCAATGTTCCACAAATCTCCAGGGCAGTGGCAAAACTCTTGCTAAACAATAACAAGAGTCGCCTTTGCTCCAGTTCCCAAAAAATTTCTCATCTCCCTCTGAGACCACCTCAGACTGGATTTCATTGTCCATATTTTCAGGATTTTGGTCAAAGCTATTCAACAAGTCTCTAGGGAGTTCCAAACTTTCCCACAATTTCCTGTCTTCTTCTGAGCCCTCCAAACTGTTCCAACCTCTGCCTGTTACCCAGTTCCAAAGTCGTTTCCACCTTTCCCAGTATCTTTTCAGCAGCACTCCACTCTACTGGTACCAATTTACTGTATTATTCCATTTTCGCACTGCCGATAAAGACATATCGCACTGCTGATAAAGACATACCTGAGACTGGGCAATTTACAGAAAAAAAAAAGAGAGAGAGAGAGAGAGATTTAATGGACTTACAGTTCCACGTGGCTTGGGAGGCCTCATGATCATGACAGAAGGTAAAAGGCACATCTCACATGGTGGCAGCCAAGAGAATAGAGCCTGTGCAGGGAAACTCCCCTTTTTAAAATCATCAGGTCTTGTGAAACTTATTCACCATCAAGAGAACAGCATGGGAAAGACCCACCCTTATGATTCAATCACCTCCCACTGGGTCCCTCCCACAACACATGGGAATTCAAGATGAGATTTGGTTGGGGACACAGCCAAACCTTATCAATAGAAAAGTTTAAATTTTTCTCCTGAAGGTTCAATTATTTGAGTCTATAAAACCAACTAATAGACAATATTGGGATGCAGAAAATGAATACAAAAAATATGGTGCTTGGGCCTGCTTTGTGCTTTTGAAAATGAAAAGACCTCAGAAATAAGCCTCAGAATCAAGGTCCCTCTAACCTTGTTGCATTCCTCCCACTCCTCAAGAAGCATTTTCTTTTTCTGAGACAGGGTCTCACTTTGTCACCCAGGCTGCCCTGCAGTAGCACTATCATAGCTCACTATTGTCTCAACTTCCCAGGCTCAAGCCATCCTCTCACCTCAGCCTCCTGAGTAGCTGAGACCACAGCTGCATGTCTGTATTAGTCCGTTTTCACACTGCTGATAAAGACGCACCTGAGACTGGGCAATTTACAAAAGAAAGAAGTTTAATGGACTTACAGTTCTACGTGGCTGGGGAAGCCTCACAATCATGATGGAAGGCAAGAAAGAGCAAGTCATATCTTACATGGATGGCAGCAAGCAAAGAGACAGCTTGTGCCGAGAAAGTCCCCCTTATAAAACTATCAGATCTCATGAGATTTATTGGCTATCACAAGAACAGCAGGGGAAAGACCTGCCTCCATGATTTAATTATCTCCCTCCAGGTCCCTCCCACAACACGTGGGAATTCAAGATGAGATTTTGGTGGGGACACAGCCATATCATATCAATGTCACTGTCAAGGAAAAGAGCCAAACTCTGTAAAATATTTGAAGAGATTTATTCAGAGCCAAATATGAGTGACCATGGCTGGTGACACAGCCCTCAGGAGGTCCTGAGAACATGTGCCCAAGGGGGTTGGGATGTAGCTTGGTTTTAATACCTTATAGGGAGGCATGAGACATCAATCAAATACATTTAATAAATACATTGGTTTGGTTCAGAAAGGTGGTACAACTCAAAGTGGGGGCTTCCAGGCTATAGGCAAATTTAAATACTTTCTGGTTGACAATTGGTTGAGTTGGTCTAGAGACCTGGGATTGACAGAAAGGAAATGTTAAGGTTAAGATAAAAGACTGTGGAGACCAAGGTTATTTTGAAGCCTTATAGTGGCTGCCCTTAGAGACAATAGATGACTAATGTTTTCTATTGGGATCTTTAAAAGGTGCTAGATTTTTAGTCAATCTGTTTAGGATTGGGAGGGTCTGGAAGAAAAAGATTGGCTATGTTAATAGAGATTCTTTACAGATGTAAATTTTCTTCCACAAAGGACAGCTTTGCAGGGCCATTTCAAGATATGGCAAAGAAACATGTTTTCACATAAAATATTTTGATTTACTTCCATGTCTCATAATATTGTGCCAGAGTCAGGTTGGAAAGTAAGTCATGATATATAGGATTAAATAAAACCCATCTGATGAAAATTTATGGTTTGTAGGGCATGATTTCCCATGTTCTCCAGGCTAGTCTCAAACTCATGGCCTCAAGCAATCCTCCTGCCTTGAACTCCCAAACTACTGATATTACAAGCATAAGCCACGATGCTCAGTGCAGAGCAGGAAAGCTTCATACCAACAGAAACATAATTCCTTTCAATTTCTTCCCTGAAATGTCAGCAATTTCAGAATAGAAGACTAAAGAAGGCAACCACACCAAATAGACTTTTTTTGCAAGATAATGCCTGACTCTTGAACTGATTTAAATTCCAAAGAGAATCACTTATGAGTTAATTTCTGTCTCCCTGGTCCATTCATTCTCTCTAATAATCACTTACTGCTGCCCAAAAGAATTTTCTACATTCCTTATCACCTCCCTCCCCTATGAAAACACTTCTATATCCCATTGAGGGTTTGGGGTAATCATTTTTCCCCCAACCCCTGCCCCTCATGCATGTTAATAAAATTTGTATGCCTTTTATCCCATTAATGAAACTGCCTTTGTAAAATTATGGCAATAAGAGAAATCTGACATCATTGACTTCATCTCACTCATAATTTTGAAGCTCTCCTCAGTAATTCATGGGCATAGGCCAAGCAAACTTTGGGAGAGATTTAGTTTGTAGTTTAATCTTAAAGCAAGGGTGATAATAGCTCTTCCCCAAACTAAATCACCCTTGTAAAACTAATGAAAGTCCCTGCAAGTAAGATTATGAGAGGGACTTGAATTCTGCTAAGATGTAGGCATAGTTTCTATAATCCCTTACTGCTCAAGAGTCAGGTAGCTGGAGATGACAAGATTCGTGACTTCCACAGTTGCTCCTATAGATAATATCACTATTGTGGAAGCTAAGATTCATCTTTTGAGATTTTTTTTGCACACTTTTGTGTTCTGGCAACCAAGTTAATCCATCTGGACTTCTGATTCATGACTCAACCAGTCCTGTGGCCCCCCACTGAGAGGTGGACTCAATGCATGAGGACCATTTTTCACACTCCTATTATGGCAACTCCAACTGTTAGCGGTGGCAAATATCCAGGTTGCCAGTGCTGAATCTGTATGGGTCTGCAGCAACTTCAATTCTTGCCTCTCCAGAAGAAAGAATTCTACTGAGGTGCATAAGGCAGAAAAAGAGACTGGGGCAAGTTTCAGAGTGGGAGTGGAAGTTTATTGAAAAGCTTTAGAGCAGGAAAGAAAGGAAAATACACTTGGAAGGGATCCAAGTGGGCATCTTGGAAATCAAGCACCTTGTTTAACCTTGAACCTCAGATTTTATATGCCGGTCTACTTCTAGCATCTTGCATCCCTTTCCTTTCATTCTTCCCTAAAGGTGAGTCACCCGCATGCATGGTGCCCTCCTTGCACTCGGGAGGTGAACACGCACAGTGTGTTTAAGTAGTCGTAAGCATGCTCACCTGAGGCTTTCTTCCTTTTCTGGTGAAATGCCCTGGGAAGGTCATACTTTACCATTTTGTCTCTTAATGTACATGCTCAAGCCAACTCACCCCATTCCTGAGTTGTTATTGGAAGCTGTCAATTACCAATTTCAAGGGTTTTTATCTATTGAGAAATTGCCTCTTTCTGGCATTGGCTGTGATGAATTATTATTTTAGAGAGCCCAACCATCTGGAAACTGCCTCTCTCTGGTATGAGCTGCAATCAATTCTCATTCTAGAGAGGCAGTGTGATAACTGCTAGGCCATCACCTGATGGTTGCCTGACATTCCCAGTGGGTGGAGGGTGAGCCCTCTCATGCCCCTCTGATGCCTGACTAGCTATATACTGAAACACAACCAATCAGTAACTGCCATTACCTAGTCTTCTCCCTGCATACCAAATTTTCTTGAAAGACCATAACTCTAAGCCTTCAAGGAGACTGATTTGGGTAAAAAGCATGTCTCCTATGTGGCCAGTTTCCTGTCAAATAAATCCTTTCCTTACTGCAAATGCTGTGATCTCAGTGTTAGTGCAGCAGGCAGGAAAAGGCCATCAAGTGATTACATTGATATGCTTCTTTTTAATTTGATTTTTATAGAATCTTCAGAGCACAAAGGAAAAGTTTTCCCTTGTCCCCTACAGAAATTAGCAGAAAAAAAGACATACAAATGTATTGGCATGAATATGTGAGCATGAGAGTCATACAAATAAAAATCCTGAAAGAAAAGGAAGATGACTGATGCTTAAATATTCACTTCATTGAAGAGAGGGGAGATGGAGGCTTGTAGGAGTAAATGATATTCAGAGGAAATTAATGAACCTAAAGAACAGCAGCCCAGAAACAGGTTTCTCTGAGCTCTGAAGAATGTCACATTATGGGTTATAGAAAAATGAAGGGAGGAATTTATGTCAAGCAAAGGTAATTTTGTTATGCAGATAAAAATATTCCAGGTAATCTCTGAGCTGCCTTTAGAAAAAGTAGATGATAGTTTGTGGTTGGTTAATCTTTCCTAGACCCAGATAAGAGAGGGGCCTCAGAAAGTCTGTTTATTTATTTTTATTTTTATTTTTATTTTTTGAGATGGAGTCTTGCTCTGTCACCCAGGCTGGAGTGCAGTGGCGCCATCTCGGCTCACTGCAAGCTCCACATCCCTGGTTCACGCCATTCTCCTGCCTCAGCCTCCCGAGTAGCTGGGACTACAGGCGCCTGTCACCATGCCAGGCTAATTTTTTGTATTTTTAGTAGGGACGGGGTTTCACCATGTTAGCCAGGGTGGTCTCGATCTCCTGACCTCATGATCCGCCCGCCTCAGCCTCCCCAAGTGCTGGGATTGAAAGTCTGTTTATTTTACCAATGCAGTTTTTTTCTTTTTTTTTTCTTTTTTCTTTTTTACAAATGCACATGTCTTCTGCAAAAGGCAGCTTTGCCAAGGTATTCCTGTGTGCAGTTTCTCTGAATAGCTTTCTGGAAATATCTCAAAAAAGTAGACTTTGGGGTAAAATATTTTTGGTTTCCCATAATGGCATGTTATCCTTTGTATTCTGCCTAACTACATTTCTCCTTTCTCTGATAACTTATCTCTTGTTAATGGAAATAATACCGATGATGATCCTTCAGAAACATAAAATCTGAGGCTACAAATCTTTGGCAAAGGAGAAAGTGATAGTTATGACTCTTACATGAGGTTATGTTAATAAAATTCTAGTTGCTAATAATCAGAAATAAGACAAAAAGTCTGTCTTGTCTGTCTCTATCTCTTTCTCTCTCTATATATATTTATGTATATATGTATGTATATATGGGTATGTGTATATCTATATATGTGTGTATATATGTGTGTGTGCATCCGCATCCACCACACACACCCCCCAGAATAGCAATAGCAATAGAATTTCAGGGTGTTAGATGGACTACATTGTGAGACCAAAGCAAATATTTGATGGTTACTATGCCAATTATGAAGGAGATAAAGAAGACAAGAGAGAATGAGAGAGAGAAAATAATTTCAATTTAAAGGCAGTGGAAAAATGGCCCCAAAATCTTTCATATATTTTTAATATCATCAGTTTATATTGTGTATGACAGAATAATTTTTCCTTCTTATTTTTTAGAAAGATGTACATATTTCAGAGATAAGATTTAGGTTTCAGGTGTTCTCCAACCTTTCTGCATATCAGCACAAACACCTAATGAATGTGTTACAAATGTTAGTTTCTTAGCTCTACTAAATCTAAATTCTTTGAAGTATCTATTTTAACAGGCTCTCTGGAGTGATGATCCTGATGTAACTGGCCCCTGGAGAGACATTTGGGATAATGTAAGTTTGGTAACTATTTCTTTTTTTTTTTTTTAGTGGTAATGAAATGTCATTGAGCTTTTCTTTTATCTTTCTTGTTATAAGATGTTAAATACACTTTGATGCCAAAAAATAACCAGAATTCTTGATATTCTGCATTCCTGATGTTTCGTTTCAATTTTGACAAAAGACCATGAGATCTGCAGAGAAAAAAAGAAGAGCTATATTTTCTATAAGCAGTCTGCAGATTGGGGAGATACAACCTTCAATGCAAACTGAAAATGTGCTCTGAGGAGAGGTTGCAGAGTTAGAGCTTATAAAGGCACAAACAGTAGGGCAAGAGAAGGGAGTTAGGAGAGTGAGAAATAGAATGTTTTGACTGGATGAGCTTTAAGCCCAAACTCATCAGTCTTTCTTAATTGACTGGTTTCAGGCGATTAATTTGTTGACAGGAGATAGTCTGTTGGTGATCAGTTGAGAAATATCCAGCTGCAGTCTATCTCAAGATTGACAACAAGAATTAGTTTGGCTTCATTGTGAAAAGGTAGGTTCATTGACACTTTTACATCTTTCAGAGAACACAGAGTGGGTGACCATTCCCTCACCCAGCCATGGCCACCTAATTCTGTTTAACTTGGAGCACCTCGGTGAGGCATGGGGAGTCCATATTATCTGTCAACTGGGCGCATAGTTCAACGTTGCACAAAAGTGACAGAGCTTGGGTTTATAAGTATTTTGTTTACATGTAACATGATGAGACAGGCACTAGGTATATTGTTTTTTAATCTCAAAATTCAAGCTGAAAGATTAAACTTGATTATTGTTGATTTATGGAAGTTTGGGGTCATCTTAAGTTCTACAAATTTTTGTTTTAGAAAATTTAACTTATATTTTAATAAATTAGTATAAAATTATGCATCTAGTTTGTTCAGGTGATTTCTAACATTTTAGTAAAAAATGTATTAATCATTAATGTATTAATGATCTTTTAAGATTCTTTGGATCAAGAACATTGTTAATTAGTGAATTGCTTTCAATTATGCGAAAATGAGCAGAAATAAAATGGATTATATACAGACTATGTTGCAAGTTAATATCTGGAAGCCTGATTTTATACCTATCTAATCTATGCAAACAATTTTCATCAAACTGCCAGTTTCTCATCTTTGAAAGAAAAATTTGAAGCTTATTTTTCATTTCCGGCTAGTTCATGTTGTCCATTAACTCTTCCCTCCCAGAAATTTCTTTCAAATAAGAAGAGTTTAACTGATTATTAGAAAATTTCAGTATAGAAACAGATAAAATAGTATTGATTAATCAGAAGCAATCCAAATAGTTTAATGTCCGGTTACTTCAATTTTTTTTGTTTATTCATTTTAGATTTTTATTTCCTAGTGCCACAGTTATTTAAAAGTGGATTAAGATTCAACTAAAAAGTAGAGCTATATAATCTGTATAATAGCAGATGTAATTGACACAAATCTGGAGAATTTACCTTAAAGAATAAACAAATTTAACATGCTATAAAAATAATGTGTCATAAATTAAGTGAACAAAATGTCAAGAAAAGTTTAAGTTTTTAAATATATCTAAGTAATTATAAATGCATTTCTTTCTCTTTTTTTTTAGTAGCATTAGGGGAAAATTGTAACTAACGTAATTGTAAATGAATAGCTTGAATGTAAAATACATTACCTCCCCCCCTAGATCTTTTTTCTAATTTTGTTTTTATTGACACATTATAATGGTTTATATTTATAGAGTACGTTGTGATGTTTCCATACATATATACATTGTATAAAATCAAATCAGAATATTTAGCATATTCATCATCTCATACAGTTACCATTTCTTTGTGGTAATAACATTCAAAATTCTATCTTCTAGCTATTTTGAACTACACCATACAGTATAGTTAACAATAGGCACCCTGCTGTGCAAATAGAGCACCAGAACTTATTTCTCCTAAGTATAACTGTAAACATTGGCCACTCTCTCCCTATTACTCTTCTACCACCCCCCTTTGAAATTTTGGCCACATTTTCTTTTGGGCAAGCAGAAACAACAGTTAAGAGGAGTAAGAAGTTCCAGACTAGTGGTTCTGAATTCTGCACACATATCAAAATAAGTCTGGTGAAGGGGTTAAATTTAAAAGTATTTGATTTCAGGTCCTCACACCCAGATTAATTAACACAAAATATCTGGAGGTAAAGGCTAGGTATTTTGAAAAATAATAAACCTCGGTGATTTCATTTCACAGCTAGAAATAGAACCACTGCTTTAGACAGGTATTTTTTTTAAATTAGATATAATAAATTATTTGTTTTAGCATAAGATTAAATTTCTATAAAAAGCATATATTCTAGTGTGAGGAATATAATTGCACACTATGTGCCATAGTAGAATATAATTTGGCTACTTCTAGAATACATTTCAAAATACATATTTATTATATATTACAGCAGAATGAGTTTCTTTGTTTTGTGGCTATGGTGTAATATGAACTATTTTATCATGCCTTTCTAAGCATGCATTCAGAGTTTATATGTAAAATCTGAAAAAATACCCATAGTATAATTACAATTTTAAAAAGTATGTGAATTATAACCCTATTTTTTAAATGTAAGTTATTTACAGTATTTTTACATGAATTTTATTTGTTAAAGTATTTTGATTAAAAATATAACACATTTTTATTATTTTAGAAAATAAAGGCACAAAAACCTGTAACGATTCATAAATCAAAATCTATAATTGGGGTTATATAATTTTTATTTTTATTTTATTTTATTTCAACAGCTTTTGGGGTACAAGTGATTTTCTGTTACATGGATGAATTATACAGTGGTGAATTCTAAGATTTTGGTGCACCCATCACACAAGTAGTGCACATTGTATCTGATGCGTAGTGTTTTATCCCTAGTTCCCCTCCCACCCTCCCCCTTCTGAGTCTTTAAAATCTATTATATCACTCTGTACGCCTTTGCATATTGACAGCTTAGCTCCCAATTAGGAGTGAGAACATACAGCTTTTGGTTTACAGACCCTGTGTTGCTTCACCTAGAATAATGGCCTCCATTTCCATCCAAGTTGCTGCAAAAGACATTATCCTTTTCCTTTTAATGGCTAAGTAGTAATCAATGGTGTATATATACCACCTTGTCTTCATAGTTTCAAACTTCTTTTAGCATTTCTTTTGGTGTTGATTTGGTAATAACAAATTCACTCAGCATTCATTTGTCTGAAAATTACTTTATTTCTCCTTCGTTTATAAAACTTAGTTTTGTGGGATACAAAATTATTGACTGACAGTTGTTCTGTTTAAGGAGGTTGAAGACAGGTCCCCAATCTGGTTCGTAAGGTTTCTGCTGAGAAGTCTGCTGTTAGTCTGATAAGTATTCCTTTGCAGGTTATCAGAGGCTTTTGTTTTGCTGATCTTAGAAGTCTTTCTTTCATGTTTACCGTACATAGCATGACAGCTATATGCCTTGGTGAAGATATTTTTGCAGTGAACTTCTCAGGAGTTCTTCGAGCTACTTGGATTTGGATATCTAGATCTCTAGCCAGGACAAGAAAGTTTTTCTCAATTATTCCCTCAAATAAGTTTTTCAGATTTATTATTTTCTCTTTTGCCTCAGGAACATTAATTGTTCTTAGATTTGGCCATTTTACATAATTCCATATTCTTGAAGACCTTGTGAATTTCTTTTGATTCTTTTTTCTTTAATTTTTGTCTGATTGGGTTGATTCAAAAGACTTGTCTTTGAGCGCTTAAATTTTTTCTTCTATTTGTCCTACTCTATTTTTAAAACTTTCTACTGCATTTTGTAATTCCCTCAGTGTGTCTTTCATTTTCAGAAGTTCTGACTGTATTTTTTAAATTATGATATCACTCTCTCTAGAAATTTTTTCATTCATATGCCAAACTGCTTTTTAAGTATCTTTATGGTGGTTTTTACCTCTCTCTGATATCTTCTTGAGTAGCTTAATAATTGACCTTCTGAATTCATTATGTGGTATTTCAAAGATTTCTTCTTGGTTTGAGTCCATTCCTGGAGAGCTAGTGTGATCTTTTGGGGGTGTTATAGCATCTTATTTTGTCATATTACCAGAATTATTTTTCTGGTTCCTTCTCATTCAGGTAGACTATTTCCCTCTAATTATTCTTGAACTTATGTTTGATTTTACTGTGGATTTTTGTTTCGTTTTATTTTTAAATCTTTTTTTCTTCTTAATGACGATACTTTAATGCTTATGGTAAATTATAGCCTAATTCGGTTCTTGGTGCTTTCAGGGGTGAAGATTGTAAAAGTTCTTTGGTTATAGAGAGTCTTTGTATGATGGCTTTCTCATATTCTGGTTGTAGTAGCAATGTGCTTGGTATATGAGCAAGTTTACTATCTCCTATGGGGTTAGAAGGGTAAAGTTCTCTTAAAGCTTATCGCATTACCCCGTGGCATGCACTCCTTATTTATTTATTTTACCTCAGTATTTTATGTACTTTTTTGATGTTTCAGACTTCAGGCCAGTAGAGGACATATCCCTGAGTAGAAATTGGTTGCAGCTAAAGCACGTGGCTAAGTGAAATATCAGCCTTGTCAGAGGTGGCTGGAAGAGCTTTCAATGAATTGCACCGAGGTCTTATCAAGGGGAAGGGTTGGAGCCACCTTAGCTTCCCCGCCAGATCAGCAGGAAGGTCCACCTCTCAAACACACTCTTGTCCCAGTCCTATGACTATTCAGATCAGACAGGCACCCCTTTTTATCTATAGGAATGTTCATATTCCAAGTAGAGTGAAATTGTGATTCTCTCTCATGCAAGGCTGAACCTGGAGGGTGCTCTTCCTGTGGGGATGCAGTCACCCCTTACGTGTTCCAGAAAGGTGGTCTGTAGTTGCACCAACACAGAACACACCTGGGGGAAGCTCCAACTGTGACTACAGTGGTGAGCAAAAGAAGAAAGACTTCCTTTTCCTCAAGACCCTTCATGCACACCAGGGCTGTCTGTATTGGGATAGAGCTGAAGACTTTCCCTTCTGAGTTAAAACATTGCAGCTGTACCTCTGCTAAAAGAAGCTTTCTACCAGGGGATAGATCTGTTTCTCAAGGCCTGCCATCCAGATTCTTTTGTCCCACAGGGCTTTCCCTTATGATATACTCCCCCTTCACCTAGGACTGGGAGTTCCTAGGAGTCAGACTACTGTGAGTGTTGTCGTTCTTCTGGGTCTAGCTGCCCAGTGAAGTTGCAACACTTCAGGCTGGTACTGGAGAATGTCTGCAAGGATCCGGTGATGTGACCTGTCCTCAAGTTTCCCAACAGTAGATAGCAGCACAAGCTCTAATGGGGGTTACAGGGAACTGATGTAGACTCTGTGAAATTCCTTGGTTATTGATAGCCTTAGTGTTTTGGCTTTCTTGAACTTCAGTTATAGTATAATGAACTGGTCACATGGACAGACTCAGGACCTCCTGGTTGGCCAAAGTGGCGCAGGCAGTGGTGATAGCTGAGATCACACAAGCATTTTGTTCTTCCTGGGTACAGTGTTATTATGCCAGGAGAAACTGTAATGGACTGTGTTCGTTGGCCTCCAGCCAGGAGGTGGTGCCTAGAAAAGAGCACTAGCTACCGTAAAAACAGTTTGATTTTTGCTTCCTTAATTGCCCAAGGAGGTATTCTGGTTTCTCAGGCAATTGGCAGGGCCATGAAGCTCTCAAAATATTCTGTATTTTGTGTTAAGCTACCAGGGCGGGTGGTGGGGCAAAGCTAGGTAGAGGTTGGGTCAACACCATTTGCACTTTGGATTTTCATGTACAGTGAAAGCAGCAACACTTGTGGGTTTGCGAGGATGAGAGTAAGGCAGGAAAATAGGGTCTGGAGGCAGGAAACATAGGCCGACTCACACTTCACTTATAACAGGTAATACTCTCTCCATAGGGGTATGCCTTAAATTATTTTGTAACTTTACTTCATCCTCTCCATTTACATAGGGCGAACCCAAAGTAACCAATGGAATCCTCTAGGGGGTATTTAAACTCCCCAAAATTCTGTAACGGGACCTTTGAGCCCCTATGCTCCAGCCTGCTCCCACACTGTGGAGTGCACCTTCATTTTCAACAAAACCCTTCATTCTTTCCTTTCTTTGTGCATTTTGTCCAATTCTTTGTTCAAGACGCCAAGAACCTGAACACCCTCCATGGTTAACAGGAGCGGGTCTCAGGCCAGTGGGTTGATGTTTCAGAGAGGAATATTGATGCCTCTACTGCACAGAAGTTTTTGTGCAGTGAATGGGGAGTAGCAGGCTGCAGTAAGCCCCACAGAGTTGCCACATACCTGGTGAGGCAGATCCACACCTGCAGTGCTCCACTGGGAGCAGTGAGCTGAGTTCCAGTCAGCCTTTAATCAGACTTCACCACTGCTAGTAGTCCTAAGTTTTCCGTGGGGAGATAGAAACCGCAGCTTTCAGGCCAGGCTGTCAGCTGAAAAGTTGAGCTCCTGCCTCCTGCACTTGGTACTCCTGCACTCACAGCCTGCTTTACTCTCTCTGTCACCTTGGCCCTGGCCAAGGGAATTTATCCCCACCCAAGGTTATATCATGAAACCCTGTTAGGAGTTTCTTTCAACCTGTGACAACTACTTGAAATTTTTTGCTGTTCTCCGCAGGGTCCTTTCTGAGAAACAGTAAGGAATGACTGCCCTCAGCCCACACTGGAATCTGGGAGTGCACGCAAGGGTCTTCCCATAACTGCTCCTAATGTCGTATTCCGCAACCTTCCCCAAGTCAGTTCCTGCACTGGGTGGAACTAGGGCCTTCCCCAGTGGCCTGGACTTTCAGGGACCCTGTGGGAGTGTGTATCCTGGAGGCAAACTCTCCCCGTCTCACACCCTGGGGACTGGCAGTCCTTCATCTGACTCACATTGTAGGCTGCAGCCTCCTACTTGCTTCAAAGTGTCCATAAATTTCTTCGGTTTTCCTGTTCAGTTCCTACACTGCTTCTTGTAAAAAAAATTTACACCGTGAATTTCTACAAATTATTTTGTCCTTGCAAGTGGGAGAGGTATGCTAGCAACGCCTCTTATCTACCATCGTAAAAATAATGGGATTGTATTTTTGAAAGTAGATTTGTATCCTGTTTTTTGGCTTAATAAATATTTTAGTCTGAATTCTGTCATGTTATTGACTATTATTTAAAAACCGTTTTTTTAGAAGCTACATTATATTATAAAGTGTTAATGTGGCATATTTTTTTTTAATTTTTCTGTTGTAAATATTATTGTAAAATACTACAATTAGAGATTGGTGACATGTTCCTGTAATTTCAGCTACTGAGGAAGCTGAGGTGGGAGGATCTCTTACACCAGGAGTTTGTGACCATCCTGGACAACATAGCAAAGCCATCTTAAAACACACAATCAAACAAACAAACAGAAAAAAATGTTACAATTAAAAATACTTGCCCACCTTTGAAATATTCCCAATTAAATATTTCCAAAAGAGTAACTGGTTCAAATATTATTAGATATTATTAGAATATTTCAAATATTCCCAATTAAATATTTCCAAAAGAATAACTGGTTCAAATATTATTAATATGTTTCTCAAATTGCTTGTCTGGTTTTATCAATTTATATTATCAGCAGATGTACCAACAAATATCTTTGATATTTTGAGCTTGATGGCTTCTAAGAAAGAAAAATTAACTTTTGCCCTAAGACTGAAAACTTTGTAGGATAAAAGAAATTTCTTCCAATAGACTGAAAATCTCTCATAAATTACTGGCTCCTGTCCTTGTTAACAAGCATGGGCTATGGGAATAAGTTCTAGTAGTAGAAAATAGCAGGGGATCCCTGAAACAAATGTCTCAAAGAGCAGAAATGACTAGAGAGTTGGGTAGAACCTATTTCAAACTGTGTCATAATGAGAAAAAGTAATTATAAACTAATATCATAAACACTGAAACTTTCCCTCCAAGAAGCAAGTTTATCTCCTGTGGTAACAGTTATATGAGTAAATCTAAAGAGCCCATATTTTGTAGCCTCCGAGCAAATTTTGGCATGAAAATCACCTGGATAAGAAAAGTGTTAGTGGAAATGAATTTAGACTATTCCTCATCAATCTTTAGTGACCTCACTGTTGAAGCAAGTGTTTTTAGAATAACATTATTTCCAACACAATCAGAATAATGAGGATTACAGAAATATAATGAGAATAATCAGAAGTCTCACTCAAATATTTTCGATGTTGTGTAGTGATTATAGATTATGAACTCACTGGATACAATTTTATAGATGAGCATACTTTAAAACCTTTAAAAAATATGTTTTCTTCTATAATTTTTTTTTTTTGCCAGATGACAGGGAGACGCAGATCTGACTCCAATTTAAATAAAAGCCCTCATATTGCATGGCGTTAGACATGAAAGATAATATTAATTTAGGCCCCCAACTCAATTGAGGCTTGATTTATGGCCATGGATTGTCAGAAGAGATTATTGCAACCTTCATCCAAAGCAGTTCATAGCTGAGATAGGTAAAGTCCCTTTTTTATTTTTTTTGAGACAGGGTTTCACTCTGTCACCCCAGCTGGAGTGCAATGGCACAATCATGGCTCACTGCAGCCTCAGCCTCATGGGGCTCAAGTGATCCTCCCACCTCAGCTTCCCTAACAGCTGGGACTGCAGGTGCATGCCACCATACCCAGATAATTTTTGTAATTTTTGTAGAGATGGGGTTTTCCCATGGTGCCCAAGCTGGTCTCAAACTCCTGGGTTCAAGTGATCCTCTCACCTCAGCCTCCCAAAGTGCTAGGATTACAGGTGTGAGCCACCGCACCTGGCCAAGGTCCCTTTTATCTGCATCTGAGAGGCCAATCTTTTTATGATTCTCTATTTCCCTGAGAGAGAGACATTGTGTAGGTCATTGCTCAGTTAATGCCCCCATTGCAAGCTAGTAATTGCCTCCACACTCCCCAACCAAATGGAGATTCTCTAGAGCAAAGTCCAAGGAGCTGCCCCTGGAAGCACATATAATATTTTGTCATAAGCTCCACTCTACATTCTAGTCTACCCCTTCTAGTCCTCCTCTTAGTTTCATCATAGATGGGGTACCCTAAGGCTTCTCCTTGCTTTAGAGGGATTAGAAAGAAGGATGGCCTGATTGTTCCCAGAACACAGGCCCCTGTCCATTTGGCTGGCAGCAGCCAATATGCCCATAGTTCACAGATTCAATAAGGCCAGAGGGTGCCTGCCAGGCATTTGGATTTTCAAGCTGGTACCAAGAGTGGTTTAAGGAGGGGAAACGAGAGAATGGGCCCGGGTGGGGTGATTGGGAATCATTCCCTTTTCCCCTCTATAAACTCTTTCCCAGTATCTCATTATAATACTGTTGTCCCAGACAAGTTAATTATCCTACTGGGTCTGTAAAGGCTTTTCCCCAGCAGGCAATGCAGAACATCCCGACAATAGAGGTTTTTAACAGCCAGATGCTCCGACCTGTGAGCATGGGTTTGGGGGAAGGAGCCACCAGAGTGAAGTTATCATGGGGCATCAAGTCCCTTGCCTCCCATGGCCATTGGTCCCCCATGTTGGTCCCCCCACAGACATAGCATGAGGAGACGCCTAGGCTGCTGGCAATACTTTCAGCCAGTTGAACAAATAGGTTTCTGGACAAAGGGGAGGGCTCAGGCAACTCCTGGTTGATATGCTCATAAAATGACTCAAATACTAGGAATTGTTGGGCTGGACGGGTCTGAGGCTTTTTGCTAATATATAAATAGACTCCTGGGTTTGTTCCCTGACTGCAGATCTGTAATGTCATGGGGTAACCTGTAGTCCATATGGGCAGATTTGGCTCCAGGATGGTAAAATTTAAAGGACTGCAGGTTCTTATCTTATATTATGGTTTCGCTGGCATTTTGGTAAGCCTGACTGTCCCCTGTGTTCATTCGTGACTTTCCACAGGGTCAGTGGACCATGTTGTACAGGCCTAACAGTCTATTTCTGGAGACCTGGGGGAGCAAAGAGGGGTCTTCTCTTGAGAGGTTCCTCTCCTTGGTGTCCATATATACTTGTGACAGTTACTATAGTATCTTTCCCATGACAGGCTGTCACAAGAGACTACAGGATAAGAGTTGCTGACGTATGCAGCTTGGCAGGCATCAAAATACGAGGAAATAGGCCCCTTGTAGGAGGGAGGGATCTTTTTGGTTAGGGTTAGGAAGTTCTCTTCTTTTAGCCTGACATAGACTTTAAACCAAATGGACTCATAAGGTGAGGACTTAGGGTCATAACATATATAAGGCTGGTCGTTTCCCAGGTCACAGACTGAGTAGGTCATCTGATTGTGAATACAGGTACCTTGGTGGGTCCCTGTACATTCATAGTAAGTGTGATATAACAGGGTTCTAGTTACTGTGCTCTCCGACTACGTGGTGTGAGTGCAGTGGGGGCACCTTTCTATGGGCCCATCCCCAGACACAGGTAAAGGGAGTGCCCTAATGGGGAGGAGTAGGAACAAAGTAAAGAGTAGCATCTTTATACCCAGCAGGGACAAAAGGAGTCTTTACCCGGGGGAGGAGGCTGAGCAAAGCGACAGAATAAATAGTAAAACAATTAGTATTATCAGGAAGGCTATTGGACTTAAGATTTCCAACCACATTACTTTACTCCAGCTTCAGCCATGCGTAGACTAGTCAGCTTCTGGGGTGACTAGAGCAGGGCTGTTGCCTCCTCAAGCTTCAGCCATGTGTAGACTGGTCAGCTTCCGGACTGACCAGAGCAGGGCTGTTGTCCTCAGTGGCAACTGGCTCCCGTCGCAGGATCAGCCGGCTTGGATGGTCTGGGTTCTGCTGGCTGGTCCACTTGTCCTGGATTTCTGGTTTTAACCAACTGTGATGGATCCAAGGCACAATTCCTGCAACTTTAACAATAGAGGGAGTGGACAAGATTACAGTATGGAGCCCAACCCATATGGGCCCTAGAGTGGTTGGATTCCATTTCATGACCCAAACAGAGTCCCCAGGTTTGAAGGGGTGTACCGGGTCTCTCAGGCTTATGGGCATTCTTTCCCATACCCAGCCATGGACACCCTGCATAGCTATCCCTAAAGTCTGCATTTGCCTTCTCAAAGTCAGTTCCCCTAGTTCTCGGAGGTCACCCTTAATCTGACCTATGATGGGGGGTGGCCAGCCAAACAAGATCTCATAGGGTGAATACCCAGTTTGTTTGGTGGGGGTGCATCTGACCTGGAGGAGGACCATGGGCAGGACCTAATCCCATCTCAGATGGGTTTCTTGGCAAAATTTCTTTAGTAGCTATTTGAGTGTCTGGTTCATGCTCTCCACTTTTCCTGAGCTCTGCGATCGATAGGCAGTGTGTAATTTCCACTTTATTTTTAACAGCCGCATTCGTTCCTGAACTATCTCGGCTACAAATCTCAGTCCTTTGTCTGACCCCAAAGTCAGGGGCAATCCAAATCTGAGGATAATGTCTCTTAACAGCACTTTAGTCACCTCTCGTGCTTTCTCTGTTCGGGTGGGGAGAGCCTTGACCCATCCCGAGAAGGTGAAAATGAGCACCAGCAGGTATTGATAGTCCCCCACTTGGGGCAACTCAGTGAAATCCATAAGCAGGTTTTTACAGGGTGCGGCCCCTATTTCCTGAATCCCGGGGGCCTGGTGGGCCTCTGTCGTGGGTTGTTCCGGGCACAAGTTAGGTATTGTTTGCAAATGGCTTGGGTGATGGCAGTGAGCCGTGGCACATAGAAGTGGCGTCCCAGTAGTGTTTCTAGTGCCATTTTCCCCATGTGAGTTCCTTAGTGGAATTGCCTTACGAATTTAGGGGCCAGCATTTCAGGAATGGCTAGTCTCCCATCAGAGAATTTTCACCATCCTCCCTCAATATATTTTCCAGATTCTTGGGCAAACCAGGCCTTCTCACTTGGAGAGTAACTTGGAATCTCCCGAGGGGAGGCTCCGGGAGGAGAGGGATAACCAGGGCTTCCTTTCTAGAGTGTGCAGTAGTCGTTGCTGCCTGTCTTGCTTCCCTGTCTGTCTTTCCGTTTCTCTTGGCCTCTAGTGTTCTTGACCTCTGGTGCCCTCTACAGTGCATAATAGCTACCTTCTTCAGGGCCTACACAGCTTCTAAGAGCTGTAGAATTTCCTCTTTGTACTTTATTTCTTTTCCTCCAGCAGTTAAAAGTCCTCTCTCCTTATATATAGCTCCATGTACATGCAATGTGGCAAAGGCATACTTGGAGTCAGTATAAATGTTAACCCTTTTATCTTTCACTAGCAAAAGAGCTCTCGTTAGGGCTATTAGCTCTGCCTTCTGGGTCAACATTTCGGTGGGCAGGGGCTGGGCCTCCACCACTGAGTCCAATGTTACCACCACATACCCTGCCCATTGGACCCCTTCCAATATGAAACTGCTTCGATCTGTGAAGTATTCAACATCTGGGTCTCCAAGGGGGCAATCTGTGAGATCTCCCCAACTTGAGAATACCTCATCTACTGTTTCCACACAGTCATGGAGGGGAGCTCCCGTTTCAATTGGGAACAAGGTGGCTGGGTTAAGGGTGTTTACTGTTTCCAAAGTTATGTGGGGATTCTCGCATAGGAGCCCCTGATACCGAGTCATTCTCAGATTTGATAGCCAATGGTGCCCTCGCTGGTCCATTAGAGTCATAACCGAGTGCGGATAGTCAATTGTCCCAAAGTCAATTTGTCAGCATCTTGCGTTAGCAGGGCAGTGGCAGCTAGAGCCCTAAGACAGGGGGGCCATCCCCAAGCTACAGAGTCCAGCTGTTTGGATAAGTAGGCTACCAGGCAGTGCCAAGATCCTAGGACTTGAGTCAGGACCCCTATAGCCATTCCCTTTCGTTCATGAACATACAGTGAAAAGGCTTAGTTATATCTGGCAGTCCTAAGGCCGGGACCTGAGTTAGAGCCTCCTTGATCTGTTTAAATGCCTTTTCTTGGTCAGTTTCCCAGAGGAGGGGCTCACTTTCCACCTTTTGTGGCTTCATATAAGGGCTTAGCCATAAGTGAGAAGTTTGGGTTCCAGATATGACAAATTCTATTATTTGACGCCTATTGGTTGGGGTTGGGAGTGCACACACAGCCTGTTTTCATTCATTGCCAAGCCAGCGTTCCCCTTGACTCACTATGAAGCCTACATATTTAACCCTTTCCTGGCAAATTGGGCTTTCTTCCTGGATACTTTATAACCAGCTTTCCATACGAAGTGGAGGAGGTCTTGGGTTCGTTGGTAACAGTCCTCACGGGTTGGTGCTACTAAAAGGAGATCGTCTACATAGTTGAGCAAGGCACAGTTATTATTTGCGGGGTGTAGACCTTGAGTTCTGGGGCCAGCGCTTCCCCCAAAATTGTGGGAGACTTTTTGAATCCTTGTGGGAGCCTAGTCCAGGTGAGCTGCTCCCCTGTGCCCGTGACTGAATCATCTCATTGAAATGCAAAGATGGGCTGACTACTTGGTGCTAGGCAAGGAAACAAAAAGGCATCTTTTAAGTCTAGGCAAGTAAACCAAGCAGCATTTGCAGGAATGAGTCCCATTAAAATATACAGGTTTGGTACTACTGGGTGGATGGTCACTGTAGCCTGGTTTACAGCATGCAAGTTCTGCACCAGTCTGTATTCATTAGTCCCTGGTTTCCGCACTGGCAAAAGCAGAGTGTTCCATGGTGACCAGCATTGGGCCAAGACCCTGTGTTCCAATAGCCGCTTCAAATGCCCTTGAATGCCCTGTACGGCTTCTTGGGAAAGTGGGTATTGACAAACCCGAACCGGAATTTCCCCCGGTTTTAGTTCTACTGTCACTGGTGCCTGGTTCCAGCCAGTCCAGGGGGCTTATCTTCAGCCCACTCCAGGAATTTTACTAGGCAACCCATACAGCTCATCTAGCTCTGGCTTTAGCAATCCTTTTGCGCACAGTCTCCATTCCTCTGCCTGTGGGACGGTAAGGGTTAACACCATTGCTTCTGGGTGGGGCAGGCTTAAAGTCATATTCCCCTGCTGCCTGAAAGCAATCTGGGCTTGCAGTTTTCGAGTAAGCCTCTTCCTATCAGGGGAACTGGGCAATTCGGGAGGTATAGGAATTCATGCTGGACCTCTAGTCCCCTTATGACATATCTCTGGGGCCAGAAGAATGGCCTTTTCTCTGGGACCCCTGTAGCCCCAACGATAGTCATAATTTTTGGATAGTGGCCCCACAGGCCATGTCACTGCCGAGTGTTCAGCCCCAGTGGCTACCATAAAGTCCATCAGTTGGCCCCCTACTTTCACCATGACCATGGGCTCCTGGCAGCCTAAGGAGATGGAGCCCGGTCTTGCCTAATCTTCATACCCTTCAGTTCCTGCCAGCCGGATAAGGTCAGTGTCTGGCTCCCTCTGAATGCGGCCTCCTTTGGCTAGCAGTCTTCTAGCCCTATGGCCTTCGTCCTTTCCCTCATTGCCCTCTGGACATTCATTCTTCCAGTGTCCCTTCCTCTTGCACCAAACACACTGGTCCCTATCTAGTCTTGCCTGATTCTCAGGTCTTTTCCCGATTTGACCCCTTCCTTGTCTGCGCCCATGTCCACGTCCTCTCGCGATACTCACTCTCCTCTCCGTGAGTGCTGCCGCCAGCAAATCACTTATGATCTTCCTAAGTCTCCGATCAGCTTCCCTTTTTGCCTCCTGGTCGCGGTTAACTTACACTTTTGTGGCTACTTCCAAAAGCTGGCATTCATGCCTGCAAAACCTTCCAGCTTTTGTAGTTTCCGCCTAATGTCTCCCTGGGCTTGTCCTACAGATGCCGTGTTCACCATGCCTTGGTTCTCATTAGCCTCGGGGTCAAATGGTGTGTATAGCCAGAATGTCTCACAGAGTCTCTCATAAAACTGGCTAGGGCTTTCATCTGCTCTCTGAAGCACCTCCAAAATTTTTCCCATATTGAGTGCCTTTTTCCTACCTTCTCTCAAACCTTGCAGGAGTGCCTCTCAGTACCTCTGGCTAGGGCCTTCATCTGCTCTCTGAAGCACCTCCAAAATCTTTCCCATAATGAGTGCCTTTTTCCTGCCTTCTCTCAAACCTGGCAGGAGTGCCTCTCGGTGCCTCTGGCTAGGGCTTTCATCTGCTCTCTGAAGCACCTCCGAAATCTTTCCCGTATTGAGTGCCTTTGTCCTGCCTTCTCTCAAACCTTGTAGGAGTGCCTCTCAGAACCTCTGCAGTTGCTACAGTTGGGCTGCCTCATTTGGGTCCCAGTGTGGGTCTGCTTCTGGGAACTGGTCCAGAGTGTATGTCTGGACATTAAGGGTGCCTTGTTTTCTAGCCAGTGGAGGGGTGCTTGGGTCAGCCTCCGAAGCTCCTCGGTATTTAACAGTGTCAGGAGGTGTTGCTTGCAATCTGGCCAGGATGGATTACGTGTTTGAGAAATAGGCTGCATCAGATCTATGAGGGCCTGGGGCTTCTCTGTGTAGGAGGGAATATGGTGCTTCCAGTTAAGGCGGTCAGTGGTTGAGAAAGGCTGGTAGAGGAAGGTCCATTGCCCTCCTTGTACCTGGCCCTGTTCATCATAATAGATGGATCCTCAAGTTTCCCAGAAGGGCATTTGTAAGGCTTGGGAGCGGCCAGACTGGAGGAGGCCTGCTTGGTCATTTTGACTTCCCTCCCTGCATTTCTGAGGCAGTAGTTCGGACGCATCCCTTTGGGGTGAAGCCTCTGACTTACCACCATCTGAGCTTAACTCCTCAGGGGCCAGCCTCGGTAAAGGGGGGTAGATTGGAGTGTAAGGAGGAAGAATCTCTGTCTCCTCTGGTAGTTCCTGTAAAACTAGTTTCTCCTGACTCTCCTGTGGCTTTTTATTTCTCTCCAAAGCTCCCAGTAAAGTTGATCCTTCTTTCAACATAGGCTCGGCTTGGGCTACGAGCGTTTTGCAATACACTGCCAGGCAGGGCTGCAGTCACACAGGTCGAGTTTGAATTATATTTAGCCATGAGTCAATATATGGAAATCGGTCTGGATGCCCTGGCTGTCCTCTGACCACAGTCACCACCTTAAATACACGGCCAATTCTTTCCCTATCTATAGTTCCTTCGGCCGTCCATTCGACACTAAAAGAGGGCCATTCTACTTCACAGAGAGTTCTCAACCTCTGGGGGTTAACTTGATCCCATAGTCCCCTCATAACCTTTCTTAAAGTTCTCTAACATACATTCTAACAGGGTGGGTTTCGACGACTTCCCTCCCATTTCCTCCCAGTTACGGTGCAATTCACTCCCTCTCACTTTCGCTTCATACCGATTAGACCGTCCCTCTCGCGGGAGTACTTTAGACGCTGCTTAGCATTGGAGGCTACGTTTTAACCCCCACAATTACTAGATTGTGGGCCACCTCCCTAAGCCATATGTGGATCACCACTAGTCCCGGTCGGTCCCACAATTCACTCGGAGTGTACAGTCTATGCTAAGAGACCTGCGGCCTCACACGTCACTCCCCACATTGGTTCCTTTTGGAACCACCTCTTTCACACGCATTCACATACTTCCCCACTCCCAGTTCCTCTTCGCTAGTTGGGGTGTAGGTTTCATCTGACTCTGTGGGCCACTCTTGTGTCCTGGGTCAAACTACTCAGTACACCCCGGGTGCAAGTTTCATCTGACTTTGCGAGTCACTCTCGCACCCTAGGTCAGAATACTTAACGCACCCCCGGGAGGTGATCAGGCTCCCTTTCTGTCCTTATGGGACGAGTCCTGCCTTGGGCCCCAAACCTTACCATGGTCCTGTAGCACACTGTCCCTGGAATCATCCTGAAGCCCCTTACATTCCGTTGTGCAGACTGGGAGGGGCACCAGGTCACAGGAGAACCAATCCCTTCTCCAGGTTAAGTTCCCACGATAGCACCTGAGGTCATAGGTCTCCCCCGGCTTGGGGCCCCAGACCCACAGGCAAAGGAGACAGCAAACAAACCTGTTGTCTCCAACTCCTGGCTGGCTCACCAAAATGTCGCGGGAATCAGGAGACGGGAAAGACCAATAGGGTGGAACAGGAGGATTTTATTTAGGTGCACCGGCTCAGCAGGATTGCACCCAAAAGGCCGAGCCCCAGACAAATACAGGGCTTGACTTTTATACATGCATCTGTGGTGTGAAATGCAGCGGCTTGAAAGCGGGTAGAACAAAGACAGTTTAACAAAAAGTGACAGGCTCTTAACTCAGGCTTTCATGTGACTCTTGCTATGCGGGCCATGTGGCTGTTATCTAGGCTTGCTCAAGATGCTTGCACAATCTTATTTCATGTCTTTCTCAATGGAGCCCAGATGGCTGAAATCTAAGCTTGCTCAAGCATTTCTCATGACCTCCGTGGTGCTACAGACACTAGTTACAGAAAACAGGAATGTATAAACTCATAAAAACTTGCAGAGCAGGGTACAAGGGCATGGAGCAGGGAGGGATTAAAGAGGTAAGCTGCTCATACCAAAGAAATGGAAGAAAATTTGTTTTTTCCCTTTTTAACTTCTGCTTCAGTACTAACAAGAGCAAAGACATGGAATCAACCTAAATGCCCAACAGTGGTAGACTGGATAAAGAAAATGTGGTATATGTACACTATGGAATACTACATAGCCATAAAAAGACTGAGATCATGTCCTTTGCAACAACATGGATGGAGCTGAGGCCACTATCCTAAGTGAACTAATGCAAGATTGAAAACCAAATACTGCATGTTCTTATTTATAACTGGGAGCTAAACTTTGAATATACAGCGACAAAAAGAAGGAAACTATAGAAATCAGGGGCTACTTGAGGGTGGAGGGTGGCTGGCGGGTGAGGATTGAAAAACTACCTATCAGGTACTATGTATATTGCCTGGGTGATGAAATAATATGTTCATCAGACCTCCACAATATACAATTTCTTTGTATGAAAAACCTGCACATGTATTTCTGAACCTAAAAGAATAGTGAAAAGAGTAAAATACATTTTAAAAGAAGTTTGAAAATAAATGTCTTAAATTACTACCTAAAAATGCAGAGAAAAAGAAAGCACAAGTGAAAATGTTTATCTTAGACATCAGATATTACATTATGATAAAATGAGCCATTTTTGTTAAATCATAAGTTGACAATTATAAGTCAGGTAGGGCTGCCATTTCTGGTTGTACATAGGGTTCACTACATAAGTTATTGGCTGCAAACATATATGGGGATTGAGATCCAGCTCATGCTGGAGTACAGAGTGCTTTGTCCTATGTTATTATGAATCTTAATCAATCCATAAAGATATGTGACTGCAACGCTATGTAAACTAGTGGGGACATATTTTTTCTAACACCTTCACATGTCTGGTGTACCCCAAACATCATAGAAAATAAATGTAAAACACAACTACAACCTTAATTTAGATATATTTATGTTTTTCTCTATCCATGCAATATTTGGTGAAAATATCAATCATATGCTTGGCAATAAATAATTTATGTATATTTGAAAATATACATATATGTATATTTGAAAGTAATATATATATAATATATAACTGAAAATTATAAAATCCTTACAATATATGATAATAATCCAACACAATCAGAAAACAATAATAAAATAGCAATAATAAAAAGTGTAAACAAAAAGCATTAACTGTGTGGATATCTGAAACATCCTTATAAAATTTCAATAAAAGAGAATATCAAAAGTGAAATATAAAAATATATGTAGCATGAATTGATAAAAACACCTTATATCCAAAGTTATGAAATATAATTCTCAAAGAAAAAATTAAAACTTTATTTTAATTACAAGAAGAAACCAAAAAAATAAGAGTTTGCTACTCTCGAGAAATTAGGAAAAAAATGACAAAATTAACCAAAAGAAAGAAAAAGGAATTAGTTAACATAACAGATAACATTAAGTTAATTAAACAGTAAATAAATAAATAAATATAATGAATTGGATGTGTATGTGGAAATAATTTTCTCTTTTTTATCGTTTAGTAAAATGGATAAATTATTTATGAGGAAAAAAGCTAAAATAGCTGATTATATAAATGAGAAAAGGCAAGAATCATAACTAGTAATTTAACATTTTTAAGAATTTGATATATGCACATCTATGAAAATAAATTTGGACACCTTTAACAAAAGAATGATTTCCTAGAAAAATATCAATAAAGTTAACTTTAAAAATACTTAAATTCAGCAATTACCACAGCACAGATTAGAAAGTTGATTTATAATTTTCTATTGAAAAGGGAGCCACTAAAAGATGTATCTTTTCTATCTAATCTAGAACTGATACTAAAAGATGTATCAGTTCCATCTAATCTTTAAAAGGATAGGTTATTGAAATGTTTATTATATTATGAGATGGTAGAAAATGACGAGTAATTCTCTACTATAGTGTATGTGGTCACAGTAAGTTTAATACTAAAAATTTAATATAGTACAGAAATAAAACTATAGGCCAATTTCACTTATCAATATAGATGTAAATTTTTAAACTACTTAGTAGATGTAATCCAGCAATATAATGCTGGGTCTCAGTAACTGATAGCCCCAAAGTAATATGATGCTTTGACATGCTGAAGCAGAAGTTTCAAGGTCTCTCTGACCTTCCACACCTCTACGCACCACCCATCTTCCATCACTCCCAAAGCACAGGATAAAGTTAGTCTCCGAAGTTCTATTTTCTGCCTATAGTTCAGATTTCCAAAGAAGAAAACAATTACCTCTGGTCCGTTCCCTGAGTTTCATTAACTGAACTCATATCACAGGAAGAAAAACTGAAGGCTGTCAAAACACCTGCTCAGACTTTCGTCATAAACCATTGTTTGTTGTATGGGCCCAACAGAGCTTCTGCCAGGTTATTGTATTTTCTTCAAGTCCATTGGATTTTCCTGAAAAAAAAAAAATTGCTGCCCTCTGAAAATCATCCATGCTTCCCCATCTTCCTTTTCCCTAAGAAGAATGGATATAAGCATCTGTATGCCATTGGGTGATAGGGTAATCAATCCGTGATTCCCCTCTTCTGCCATGTACACTAATACACTTTAAGTCTTCTCTCCTATTAGTCTACCTTTTCTCAGTTGATTCTCAGTGAACTTTTAGAGGGTGAAGGGGGAATTTTCCATTTGACCCTACAAGTAGAATGTATTTGAGGAATATAAGGGTGATTCAATATTAGATGGTAGCTACTAATCAGCAAAACATGTTTTAAAATTTCAGAATAGACTTTGTCTCAAGAATTTGGCTCTGAAAATCAAGAGTACTGACCTTCAGACTATTTTCTCTGTCATTGACTTTAGAATCTCTATCTTAAAATCATTGCTGAGCAATGACTTTTTATTCTTGGCTCTACCTGCACTCTCCCCAAGGGTAATGAATGTTGCTCATTTTATATGTGAAAAAAAGAAAAAAATAATATGAAAGAAGAGTATCATCTTAAAATGTCCAGATTCTTTTTGTTTGTTTGTTTGTTTTTGAGACAGGGTCTCACTCTGTTGCCCAGGCTGGAGTGCAGGGGCATGATCTCAGCTCACTGCAACCTTCGCCAGGTTCAAGTGATTCTCCTGCCTCAGCCTCCTGAGCAGCTGGGAGTACAGGTGCACACCACCACACTTGCCTAATTTTTGTATTTTTACAAAATACAAAGAGGTTGGGTTCCACCATGTTGCCCAGGCTGGACTCGAACTCCTGACCTCAAATGATCCACCCGCCTCAGCCTCCCAAAGTGCTGGGATTACAAGCATGAGCCACCATGCCTGGTCCCAAAACCTGCAGATTCTATCCTGCTACACAGCCTTATTTTTGGAGAAACTATTAGAAGTTATTTAGGACATCCAACTCTCAATTATCTGTTCACATGGTAGAGACTGATAACTTGGTCAATAAGAATTTATATAACTCTGGATAAAATTTTCACACTGAATTTTTTTTTTTTTTTAGTTGGAATCTCGCTCTGTTGCTCAGGCTGGAGTGCAATGGCACAGTCTCAGCTCATTGCAACCTCTGCCTCCCAGGCTCAAGGAATTCTCCTGCCTCAGTCCCCCGAGTAGCTGGGATTACAAGTGCCTGCCAACACTCCTGGCTAATTTTTGTATTTTTAGTAGAGATGGGGTTTCACCATGTTGGACAGGCTCATCTCGAACCCCTGACCTCATGATCTGCCTGCCTTGGCCTCCCAAAGTGCTGGGATTATAGGCATGAGCCAACGTGCCCAGCCTTACAGAGAAATTTTAACTGAAATTTGATCTAATAAAAGTTTAACATCACGTTAAATTTTTGATATGTGATGCATAAATTTAAATGAAATCAATGGCTTCTGGCAAACACAAATCTTTCTTTCACTACAGGTTTGTTTTATATCTTCTAGCACTCCATATTGGCCCGGGCGCGGTGGCTCATGACTGTAATCCCAGCACTTTGGGTGGCTGATGCGGGTGGATCACAAGGTCAGGAGATCAAGACCATACTGGCTAACACAGTGAAACCCCGTCTCTACTAAACATACAAAAAAATTAGCCAGGCATGGTGGCATGTGCCTGTAGTCCCAGCTACTTGGGAGGCTGAGGCAGTAGAATCGCTTGAACCTGGGAGGGGAAGGTTGCAGTGAGAGGAGATTGTGTCACTGCACTCCAGCCTGGGTGACAGAGCGAGACTCCATCTCAAAAAAACGAAAAAAAAAAAAGGAACTCCATATTAATGAAATAAAACATCATAGATATTCTTTTGTCTGGTTCTAATGTTCAACATAATAATTTGAAAGCTTATCTAGGTTGTTTGTATATATCAATATTTTCTTATATTGTTGAAAATTACTTTATCGTGTGACTATACCCATATTCACTGATGTATTCACCTATTCGTGTATTTTGCAGTTGTTTATATTTTTAGCTACTATGAAATATTTGTTATGAGTAGTTATTTTAGTCTTTTGATGATATGTGCTTTCATTTATTTTAATTAAAAGTGGAATTACTGGGCAATATAGTAGGTGTGTACTTAACTTTATACAAAGCTGATACACAATTCTACAAATAAGTTGTAGCATTGTGCATTTCTAGAAGTAATATGTGAAATTAGTAGCTCCACCTTCTTGTTATCACTTCAGATTATAAATCTTATTAAATTTAGCCTTTTTAGTTTGTGTGTAGTCGTATAAAATTATGGCTGTTAGTTGCATTTTTGTGATGAACAATCAAGCTAAACAACTTTCATGTCTTTCAACAATTTTCTCCATTTTTTTATTGCCTAGGCTTCTTAGAAAGTTATAACGTTTTGTTTTACATTTTAGATGCCAGGTTTCTTTATCTAATATACAATTTTGAAATATTTTCTTTGGTTCAAGGTTTATTTTTTCCATGCAGAAAGTCAATTTATTCTTCATCATTTGGTAAAAATTTTAGGCTTTTCTCATTTAATGTGTGTGGATGTTTTGTCAAAAATTAGGCGACCACGTTTTCTGCATTCAGATATGATATCAAACTATAAGCTAATAATAAAACTTAAGCCCCTCAACCATATCAATGGACCCCTCTTCTTGGTCAATTGCATTCCAAAGTCAACCTGAAAAACCAGTTCAGGCCATGATGAGTAGGGAGAGTCAGACATGCCTCAGTGTGCCCTCCTCCCCTTTGGAATTCAGTACATCTGACCAGCATTAACATCAACACAGAGACTGATAGAACAGACTCTTTAAGTCTGGTAACAAACATTTACTATTTATTATTACTGATGTCTACTATCTGGAGGCTTCATCTGCATGATAAAACCTTGGTCCCCATAATGGCTTATCATAACCCAGACACTCTTTTCTATTGATTCCAGGTCTTTAGAAAATATCTCCTTCAACCAATTGCCAAGCAGAAAATATTTGAATCCACCTATGACCTGAAAGCCCCTGCTTCCAGTTGTCCCACCTTTCCAGACCAAACCAATGTATGTCTTACATGCATTGATTGATGTCTTTTGTCTCTCCAACACGTATAAAACCAAGCTGTAGCCTGGCCACCTTGGGCACATGTTCTTACAGTCTCCTGAAGGCTGTGGCATAAGCCATTGGTCACTCACATTTGGCTCAAAATAAATATCTTCAAATATTTTATAGAGTTTGACTCTTTTTGTCAACAAAACCCTAGAAATAATTTTAAAAAGCAACTACCTGAGTTATTGAGAGTGAAAAGAGGCAGAAAGACTCATATAGGGGATGTACCATGGATGAGGGCAGATAGAGAACTCAGTTCATGCCTCCAGGGCCTAGGGCTAATTACAGTCTATAGTATTCCACTGTGAAGGGAAGATGTGAATCTGAGGAAGCCTAAGAGAATGGAGGAATTTTGGTAGAAAAAGAGCCACAAAGGGGATCCCTAAACATGGTTTACTCACATCTCTATTAAGGCAATTGAAACATTAACAGGCAGACCAGATTTTAATAAACCTAAATAAAGACATAAAAACAGAAATTTGAAGGGAGTTGGAAGTACTGGATAAGAATCCGTATGTGAAACTAATGAAGCAAATAAAAAAAGAGCCAACCTACTAAAACAAGAAATAGAATATTCGTTAGAGAAACATAATTAAAAAATAAAAATAATAATGACAATAAATCCAGAAACTAGACAACTTAACATCTGTAATATCATATTACCCAATATATGAAGAACCAAGAAAACAGCACACTGTCTTAAAGAAAATAAAATCACAGCTTGGGCAACATAGTGAGATCCTGTCTCCACAAAATAAAATAATAAGTTAGCTAGGCACGGTGGCACACACATGTATTCCCAGCTGCTCAGGAGGCTGAGGTAGGAGGATTGCTTGAGCCCAGGAGGTCAAGGCTACAGTGGCTGCAGTAAGCTATGGTTGAGCCACTATTCTTCAGCCTACTTGACAGAGCGAGACCATGTCTCAAAACAAAACAAACAGAAAAAATTCACAGTGAATTCTGACCTTAAGATGAACAACGTATTAAAAGTAACAGACAAGGATTTAAAAATGTCTGTTAAGACTATCCTTAGTGAAGCAAAACAAAATATTTTTTGACATATAAAAACCTTAGCAAAAAACTAGTCTTAGCAGAGCAATCACTTGAAATAAAAAAATAGTTATAAGTTGGTATACTAATAGAGAAGAGAAAAGAGAATTCCATAAAATGCTCAATTAAAACAAGAGAAGCCAGAAAATAAATGAAAAATTAAATAAATACATAAATGGAAATAAATAGAAAACATATAGATAATTCAAGTATACCAATAATTACTTTAAATGTTAAAGGTCTAAATGCACCAATTAAAGAACAGAAAATGTCAGATTTAATAAAGAAAAAATGACCAGCATATATATTGCCTACAAGAAATCCACTTTAAATATGAAAACAGATAAATTGAAAGTTAAAAAATTGAGAAAGATATACAATGCTGAAATACTCACAGGAAATATGGAGTAGTTATAATAACAAAGCAGGCTTCAGTGCATGGAAAATTATCAGCGATAATGTGAGGCATTACATAAACAGAGCAATCTTCCAAGAAGACATGATAATCCTCAATGTGTATGCACCTAAGAAAAATGTGTCAAAACACATAAGATCAAACTGGTAGAACTGCAAGGTGAAATAGAAAAAATCATTATTGTATGTGGAGACACAAACACAAAATCAGTGGAACACAGAAATAGACACTTCTTTGATCAGAACAACACTATATTTACTTTGATTTAGTTGATATTTAAATAGCATACATCTGGTAAGTATGGTATATATTATTTCTAAGTACACGTGTTTTATTTTATTAGTATAGATCATATACTGGCAATGAAACAAGGATCAATAAATGTAAAAAGATTAAAATCTGAAAGAGTCTATTATTTTGCCAAAATGAAATAAATTAGAAATGAATTATAATATAAAAAGAAAAATTGCAATTATTTGAAAATTAAAGAACACAATTTTAAATAATCTCTGGGTGAAAGAATAAATCAAACAAATAAATTAGGAAGTATTTTGAAATGACAAAATCATAATAAAATGTATTTAAAATTTGTGGAATGCAACTAAAACAGCACTTATTAGGAATTTTCTAGCTTTAAATGCCTATATAAGAAAAGAATAATAATAAAAATATTAAAAACCAGTGATCTAAACTTCCACCTTGAAAAATTAGAAAAGAATCACAAATTAAACAAGCAAAAAAAGAATATTAAAAAAGGGCATAGATCGATGAACTAGAAAACAAGCAAAAGCAATACAGAAAACCAATGAAACCAAAAGATGGTTCCTTTAAAAATGAATTAAATTTATATCTCCTCAATATCAGAAAATATTGATTTTTCTGTTATTTTCTCTCTAGGTGAAATTTTATGTCCTATTTTCCTTTCACTTCACTATAATCCCTTGGGTAAGTGAGTAAGGGTGTAAGAAAGATACTGGCTTTAAAAAACTTAAAATATAAAATATTTCAGAAATATTATGCTCGTTGAACTAGTATTTGCTTGTGTAAGTACAGAAAATGATACATACCAAAAAGTTAATTTTAGTAATCTTGGCAGGAGAGCATTGGAAGTTAGAGAAGCTATTGGCACCGCTAGTATATGACCTTTATACATCTCTTTATGTTTTCAATGGCTACAGCAAGCATACAGTACTTTTGTAGTTTAAAAGTATAAAATTAAATACATATATGCATATATTCTAATTTTATAGTTTAATGCGTTAACATTAAACATAATAATTAGACTTTAAGGAAGCTTCAGCTAAGAAGATTAAAATGTTAAAGATTAATGATCATATGAAAAAATATCTGAGTGAAAACTATTATGTGAAAGTCATCAAAACAAATAGACAATAAATTATTATGCTATTTTCTTAAAATACTTTTTATCTGTGACTCTCAGATTTAAAAAAAGCAGGAAATAGTCATTTGAATTTTAACTTAGTTAACCTAAAATTTCTCTTGGGATAAATTGTAAATGAACTGTGGCTGTTTTAACTGTAAATAAAACAAAGGACATTTATAAATCTAAGTTTTTTCTAATTAAATGACAATAGAAGATATAGTAAAAAGATAAATTATAAAATACTATATTAGTTGGACAAACCAGGTTTTGTTAAAATAGATGTAAATATTTATCAAATATCATAAGCTAAAAAAGGAATGATTATATTAAAACTGGAGAAAACTAGTATATATAAAATGTTGATTAATATTTTTAAGAAAAAAAAGTTGCCTAATTTCTCTGACTTTTCCCTTTTTAGACTCCAACTTGTATCAGCTAGAATACATAGCTGACCCTCATCCAGTTGAAATTGTTTGCTAAGCATGAGAGCATATTGCATCTTTGAAGGTTGAATTTTTGTTTCTGCAAGGAAACACAACTTTTAGTTTGACATTCTTATTCTAAAAACACAATTTATTCAATAACAATATCAAGGTCGATAATTTAACCACCATGCTTTTCTTTATTACATAGTTTTTTTTTGCTTTACAAGCATTGAAGTATTTTACAAACATTAAGTATGTTAAAAACAAACACCCAGTATGTAACCTACCTTTTATATTGTCTTTTGGAGAATTTGTATGCATGGCTGGAAAGGTTGCAATTCTTCATGTATATATTTAGTGAAGTTTGGTATGCATTTGTATTTTTACCCATTAGCAAATATAGGGATATTTCATAGTTCCAAGGATCTTCAAATGGCATTCAAGTTTAGAACTATATAATTTAAAAATATTATTATTCAGTGTGCAGGAATGACTGAATACCATATAAAGTTAATGCTATGGAAAGTTAAATATTTATGGAACCATTGATGTCTATATTTTCCTCACTTACCAATTTATTCAGCATGGTCTCAGGGAAGTTTCAGTTAGGCAACAGGGTTCTAGTTTTAGGACATTGAGGTTAAGTTTTCTTAATGAAAAGAAACGTAATAAAAGTAGAAGCATATACACAGAACTATCTAAGTTAGGAAACATCTGTACTATTTTGTGTTTCTGCTATATTTTATGTATAATTGCTTAAAATTCACCTATGAGAAAGGTATATGTTAGAACAATAAAGTGCATCTCAGGTAACCATTTCAAACTTACAAAATATGAAGACATTTTTCAAGAAGGAAAGTGTTTAAAGTCTTGTCAATCCAATTCTTACAAAACCAGGAAAATTATAGCAAGCATCTTTTTTTTTTTTTTTTTTTTTTTTTTTTTTTGACACAGAGTCTCACTTTGTTGCCCAGGCTGGAGGGCAGTGGCGAGATCTCGGCTCACTGCAGCTTCCTCCCCCTGGGTTTAAGTGATTCTCCTGCCTCAGCCTCCCCAAGTAGCTGGGACTACGGGCGCACACCACCATGCCTGGCTAATTTTTGTATTTTTGGTAGACACGGGGTTTTCCATGTTGCCTAGGCTGGTCTCAAAATCCTGACCTCAGGTGATCTGCCCACCTCGGCCTCCCAAAGTGCTGGGATTACAGGCATTAGCCACCATGCCCAGCCAAGCTTCTTCTATAAAACTTTTCTTGGCAGTATTATTTTTGCCTTATCAATATAAGGAACCCTGCCATTTAAATAAACATAAAAATAAATGAAGTCAAGAAAAATATAAATGTATTAATGGCCTTATTATTTTTAGTTCAAATAACTTTATCTAAGTGCTTTCTTACACTAACATACACATTTATACACATACACTGTATTAGTCCACTCTCACATTACTATAAAGTAATACCTGAGACTGGGTAATTTATTTTAAGAAAAGAGGTTTAATTGGCTCATGATTCTGCAGGCTGTACAGGAAGTGTAGTGGTTTCTGCTTCTAGGGAGGCCTCAGGAAGCCTCCAATTATGGCAGAAGGCAAAGGGGCAGCAAGGCATCCCATGGCCACAGCAACAAGAGAGAGAGCGGGAAGTGGAGAGGTACTACACACTTTTAAACAACCAGATCTCGTGAGAACTCACTATCATAAGAACAGCACCAAGGGGGTGGTGCTAAACCTTTCATGAGGAACAGCTCTATGATCCAATCACTTCCCACCAAGCCCTACCTCCAACATTGAGGATTACAATTCAACCTGAGATTTGGGAGGGGACACAGATCCAAACCATATCATATACACTGGTATAGTTTACATAGACACATTAACCCTACTCTGCAAATGACTTGAAAATAATGGCATCAGTGAATCTTTACATCTATACCCTCTATTTCTATATACATTATAGGGAAGTATTCTCCCCTACAAAACAGTGATCAGTTTACTGATAAATGACTTCTATAACTATTAAAGTGATTATTAATTAAAATTTTAAAAGCACTTCATATTTTCCAAATAATTCTCTAGGATTTCCCTTCCATATTCTTCTATACCATGTTGGAAGTAGTCTTTCATTCATGTTTAACCTCTCTAGGAAAAATTTAAAAAACCTCCAAAAACTAATATTTTAAGGTTATCTCAAATCACATATGCATAGAAACAGTCTTATCTCTTTGTGTAATTTTTTCTTCTATTAGGAAATGTCATTTTTTTAAAAGTGAAATTACATTCTGGATATTTCATATTATATATAGTTTAATAAGGGTCTGGTGATGTTATATATCAAATTCATCAAAAAAGAAATCTAAAAGCTTAACTTCTTGATATATTTTCCTCTCAATGTTTCATTTTTCTTTTTTTATAATCTCTCTTTTTACACATCAGATCTCACCCTTTTTCACCTTTTTCACATGGCTTTTTATGTCTTTATGTTAATAGAGTTATTGGATTATGCAAATTGTGAATATATGCCAACTAATATTAAATATGTGATTGAAACTGTCTTTGAATAGACTAAGTTTCACCAACAAAATATATCATAACTATTTTATCCAGTGAGATCAAATAGTATATCTTTAAAATATATAGACATTTATTATTGTCTGTTTACTCAGCTTTATTATCAGTATATTTTGAATGAAAACTATTCTCCATGGTGAAAGAAATTTTATCTGCCTTGACCTCTATCAAATTCTCAGAACAGAGAACACTCACGTAATCTGTTGACATGAAAGGACAAAAGAGTAGAGAAAATAGATTGAAAAGTTCAATGAGTAGCAAAAAATATGCTTACCACTCTAAAGTAGCCCATTCTTATACTGCTATGAAGAAACATCTGAGACTGGGTAATTTATAAAGAAAAGAAGTTTAATTGACTCACAGTTTTGCTGGCTGGGGAGGCCTCAGGAAACTTACAATCATGGTGGAAGACACATCTTCACAGGGTGGCAGGAGAGAGAATGAGTGCTGAGTGAAGGGGGAAGCCCCTTAAAAAATCATAAGATCTCATGAGAACTCACTCACCATCATGAAAACAGCATGGGGGTAACTACCCCCATGATTGAATTATCTCCACATGGTCCCACCCTTGACATATGAGGATTATGACACTTCAAGGTGAGATTTGGGTGGGGAAACAGAGCCAAACCATATCACTCTGCCCCTAGCCCCTCCCAAATATCATGTCCTCACATTTGAAAACACAATCATGCCCTTCCAATAGTCCCCCCAAATCTTAATCCATTCCAGCATTAACCCAAAAGTCCAAGTCCAAAGTCTCATCTGAGACAAGGCAAGTCCCTACTGCCTATGAGCCTGGAAAATCAAAAGCAAATTAGTCACTTCCTAGATACAATGGGGGTACAGGAGTGGGATAAATACACCCATTCCAAATGGGAGAAATTGGCCTAAGCAAAGGGGTACAGGCCCCCATGGAAGTCTGAAATCCAACAAGGCAGTCAATAAAGTTCCAAAGTGATCTCCTTTGACTCCATGTCTCACATCCAGGTCATGCTGATGCAAGAGGTGGGCTCTCATGGCCTTGGGCAGCTCCTCCCCTGTGACTTTGCTTGGTACAGTCCCACTTGTGGCTGCTTTCACAGGCTACCATTGAGTGTCTGCAGCTTTTCCAGGTGCACGGTGTAAACTGTTGGTGGATCTACCATTCTGGGGTCTGGAGGATGGTGGCCATCTTCTCACAGGTCCATTATGCAGTACCCCAGGGGGACTTTGTGTGGGGGCTCCAACCCCACATTTCCCTTTTGCAGTGCCCTAGCAGAGGTTACCCATGAGTGCTCTGCCCCCACAGAAAACTTCTGCCTGGACATCCAGGCATTTACACACATCCTCTGAAATTTAAGCAGAGGTTCCCAAACCTCAATTCTTGACATCTTTGCACATGCAGGCTCAACACCAAAGGAAGCTGCCAAGGCTTGAGGCTTGCATCCCCTGATGCAATGGCCTGAGTTGTACCTTGGCACCTTTTAGCCATGCTGCAGCAGATGAGACACAGCACCAAATCCTGAGGCTGCACACTGCAGGGGGAATCTGGACCTGGTCCAGGAAATCACTTTTCCCTCCTAGGCCTCCAGGCCTGTGATGAGAGGGGCTTCCCTGAAGGTCTCTGGCATGTCCTGGAGACATTTTCCCTATTGTCTTGGCAATTAGCATTTGGCTCCTCATTACTTATGCAAATTTATGCAGCTGCCTTAAATTTCTCCCCAGTAAATAGTTTATTCTTTTCTGTCACATTGTCAAGCTTCAAATTTTCCAAACTTTTATGCTCTGCTTCCTCTTGAATGTTTTGCCACTTAGAAATTTATTCTGCCAGATACCCTAAATCATCTCTCTCAAGTTCAAAGTTCTACAGATATCTAGGGTAGGGGCAAGATGCCACCAGTCTCTTTGCATAGCAGGAATGACCTTTGCTCCAGTCCCCAACAAGTTCCTCATCTCCATCTGAGACCACCTCAGCATGGACTTCATTGTCCATATCACTATCAGCATTTTGGTCAAAGCCATTCAACAAGTCTCTAGGAAGTTTCAACCTTTCCCACATCGTCCTGTCTTCTGAGCCCTCCAAGTCTCTAGGAAGTTCCAAACTTTCCCATGTTTTCCTGTCTTCTTCTGAGCCCTCCAAACTGTTTCAACCTCTGCCTGTTACCCAGTTCCAAAGTTGCTTCGACATTTTCAGTTATCCTTATAGCAGCAACCCACTCCCTTGGTACCAATTTACTGTATTAGTCTATTCTCATGCTGCTATGAACACCCAAGACTGAGTAATTTATAAAGAAAGGAGTTTTAATTTACTCACAATTCCACATGTCTGGGGAAGCCTCAAGAAACTTACAATCATGGCAGAAGGTACCTCTTCACAGGGTGACAGGAGATAGAATGAGTGCTGAGTAAAGTGGGGAGCCCTTTATAAAACCATTAGATCTCATGAGAACTCACTCAGTATCATGGGAGCAGCATAGGAAACCACCCCCATGATTCAATTATCTCCACTTGGTCCTGACCTTGACACATGGGGATTATTACAATTCAAGGTGAGATTTGGGTGGGGACACAGAGCCAAACCATATCACACCCCTTCAATCCCTTCCAGTCTTCAGTAAGATGAAGACTCTTAGAGAAATACAAAGCAAACAAAACAAAACAGGCATTATTTTTGAAGGTTCTATGGCATAAAGTGTCCTTAGGAAATATTCCGTTTTCTGTTAGAGTAAGAAGAAGGAATATAACAAAGGAGATTAAGAATATAGGAGATTTTAAGGATGATAAAATGTTAGTATCAAAAAGCACAAAGATGAGGCTTCCAGAGTTAGGGAAGGGTATTACAAAGAAACACAGTAAGAGCCATGCATAATTTTATTGGATTAAGGTATGAGAGGTGTCCAGAGACTGGAAAACTAGGGCCTCTTACAGTGACCAGTATTAACAGAAATAAAAGGCATTATAAACAGCCAGTTATGATGGGATTCCAGGAAGTCAGTGGTGGAGGATCTGTGGATTTTGCAAATATGAAATGGTTTATTTCTTCATTTTCCTCTTTATTCATGATGACTTGGGTTAGAAGGCCAAGAGGAGACCTTAATGAGGAAGGAATATTAAAATTTATTCAGGAAATATTTCTAACTCTCTTATCCCTTGATCTTATTATTTTCTATTAGAAGCCAAATGATTCAATTACTGTTTACATATTCACTATTAACTGGTTAGCTCTTTTCAGTTTGTTAATAAAATACTAGTAATAAGGGCGTGACATAAAAATGTTTTTTCACTTATTGTCTTTGGGTTTACTCTTTTAAAATATGTGACAGCTATTTATTTAGATTATAAACTAGTGTGTTAGCTTTTTCTTTTATTGAATATTATATTTCAATATAGTTTGGATGTTTGTCTCCTCCAAGTCTCATGTTATAATGTAATCCCCAATGTGGGAGGTGTGGCGTGGTGGAAGGTGATTGGATCCTGGGGGCAGATCCCTGACAAATGGCTTAGTGCCATCCCCTTGGTGATGAATGAGTACACATAAGAGCTGATTGTTTAAAAGACTCTGGCCCCGTCCTCTCACTCCCTCTCTCTTGCCATTCTTGCTATGTGAGATGCCTGCTCCCACTTTGCCTTCCGCCATGATTGTAAGGTTCCTGAGACCCTCAACGAAAACAGATGCTGGAGCCATTTTGGTACAGACTGCTGAACCACGAGCTAATTAAACCTCTTCTCTTTATAAATTATGCAGTCTCAGGTATTTTTTATAGCAATGCAAAAATGGTCGAACCCAGAAATATGGTTCTAAGGAGTGAGGCATTGCTATAAAGATACATTAAAATGGGGAAGCAGCTTTTGAACTGGGTAATAGACAGAGGTGGGAAGAGACCATAGGACTCAAAAGAAGACATAAAGGTGAGAAAATGTTTGGACCTTCTTCGAGACTAGTTAAATAGTTGTGACCAAAATGTTGATAGTGGGTTGGGCCTGGTGGCTCACACTTGTAATCCCAGGATTCTGGGGGGCCTCAGTGGGTGGATCACTTGAGGTCAAGAATTTAAAAAAAATACAAAAATTTAGCTGGGCATGGTGGTGGGTGCCTATAATCCGAGCTACTTGGGAGGCTGAGGTTGGGGGGGAATCACTTGAACCCGGGAAGTGGAGGTTTCAGTGAGCCGAGATTGTGTCACTGCACTCCAGCCTGGGTGACAGAGGAAAACTCTGTCTCAAAATAAAAATAAAAATAATAAACACTTATAGTAATATGGACAGTGAAGTCCAGGCTAACAAGGTCTCAGATTGAAATAAGAAATTTATTGGGAACTGGAGCAAAGGTCGCCCTTGTTATGTCTTAGCAAAAAACTTAGTTGCATTGTGTTCATGACCTAGGAATCTGTGGAAGATTCAACTTAAGAGTGATAACTTAAAGTATCCAGCAGAAGTAATTTCTAAGCCACTAAGCATTCAAGATGTGGCCTGGCTGCTTCTAACCACTTACCACAGATGTGGGAGCAAAGAAAATACTTAAAATTGGAATGCATATTTGAAAGTGATGCAGAGCATAATAGTTCATTATATGCATGATAATCATAGTAGGGATATTTATAGCTTAGCCATGTGGTAGAAAAAAGAAAAGTCCATTTTCAGAGGAAGAATCCAAGTTGGCAGAGCAATCATTTGCTAGAGGGATTTGCATGACTAAAAGAGAAGCAGGTGCTGATAGCCAAGACAATGGAAAGAAAGGCCTCAAATGCATTCCAGAAATCTATGAGGCAGCCACTTCCATCACAGGCTCAGAGGCCTAGAAGGAGAAAATGGCTTAACTGGCCAGGCCCAGGGCCCTGCTACCCTGTATCACCCCAGGAGGCTTCTCCAGCTTCAGCCTTGGCTCAAAGGGGCCCACATACAGGTCAGGCTGCAGCTCTGAAGAGTGCAAGCTACTGTAAGCCTTGGTGGTGATTTCTTGTGGTGTTAAGTCTGTGGGCACAAGGAATGCAAGAACTAAGCTAAGGGGGCTTGGCACCTTCCCCTGAGATTTCAGAGAATACATCAGAAAGCCTGGGTTTTCAGGCAGAAGAGTAATGCAGGGGTGGATAGCCCCCAGAGAAACTACCCAGAGCAGTGCAGAGGGGAAATATGGGATTAAAGGCTCCACACAGAGTCTCCACTGGGGTACTGCCTAGTGCAGCTGTGGGAAGGAGGCTGCCACCTTCTAGACCACAAATGGTAGAGCTACAGGCAGCTTGTATCCTGGGCCTACAAAAGCCACAGATGCTCAACTCCAACCCATGAGAGCAGCCACAGGTCTGGACCCTGAAAAGCCATAGGGACAAGGCTGTCCAAGGCTTTGGGATCCCACCCCTCAAACCAGGATGTGGGACGTGGAGTCAAAAATTATTTTGGAGCTTTAAGATATAATGCCTGGCTGGGCATGGTGGCTCACGCCTGTAAACCCAGCACTTTGGGAGGCCAAGGTGGGTGTATCACGAGGTCAGCAGTTTGAGAGCGGCCTGACCAACATGGTGAAACCCTGTCTCTACTAAAAATACAAAAATTAGTCAGGCCTGTTGGTGTGCACCTGTAATCCCAGCTACTCAGGAGACTGAGGCAGGAGAATCACTTGAACCCGGGAGGCAGAGGTTGCAGTGAGTCAAGATGGCGCCACTGCACTCCAGCCTGGGCAACAGAGCGAGACTCCGTCTCAAAAAAAAAAAAAAGATATAATGCCTATCCTGTTAGGTTTTAGACTTGCATGGGGCCTATTACCTCTTTCTTTTGGCCAATTTCTTTATTTTAAGACAGAATTGTTTACCCAATACGTGTACCACCATTGTTTCTTGGAAGTAAAATATTTGCTTTTGATTTCATAGACTCATAGGTAAAAGGAACTCATCTCCACATGAGATCTTGGACTTTGGACTTGGTACTTGGCACATTTGGTTGAGTTGATGCTGGAACAACTTAAGACTTTGGGGAAATATTGAGAAGGGATGATTGTATTTTGCAATGTGTAAAGGACATGAGATAGGAGGGGGCAGGGATGCAATGACCTAGTTTGGATATTGTCCCCTCTAAATCATATGTTGGAGGTAGGACTTGGTGGAAGGTGATTTGATCATGCAGGCAGATCCCTCATGAATGGCTTCACGCTATACCATTGGTGATGAGTGAGTTCACATGAGAAGTAACTGTTTGAAAGAGCCTGGCTTGCTCTTCTCATTCTCTGGCTCTCTTGCTCCTGCTCTCACCATGTAATGTGCCTGCTCCTGCTTTACCTTCCACCATAATTGTAAGGTTCCTGAGGCCCTCACCAGAAGCAGATGATGGAGCCATGCTAAGACAGACTAGAAAATCATGGGCCAAGTAAACCTCTTTTCTTTATAAATCATCTAGTCTCTGGAATTTCTTTATAGCAGTCCCAACATGGCTTTAATACATCTTTCTAAAATTTTAAACTGCTAACTGAGTTATTTAAGGCATACTATATTATGCCTTAAATAAACATTTATCATGACAAGGGAATTCTCCAACCATGTTTTTAATGTATTATCTTTTTCCTTTACATCTTTTCAATGCTTTCTTGAGGAAATAAAATGTATTTCTTGTGGTGAGCTTAAATGAATTACAGAAAGCTTCAAACTTGTCAGAAATTTATTTTCTTCCTATAACTTTAAAAAAATTTGTGTATTTTCCCTTTGGACTTAAAATAAGAAGCAAGGATGAAACAAAATAAAGCAACATAATAAAAAAGACACAAATATATCATTTAAGCTCCTTAAATACATTTGAATTTCTGGAAGTTCAGGAAACCTGAGTTTTTACTAAGTTGCTGAACCACAATGTAATATTGTAAATAAAATCATACAAAATGTTATTTCTTTCTTACAGAAGGATTGAATCAGTGAAACTGGTTTACAAATTTATGTTTCTTAATATTTCATTGCTCTTGAACAGCATATCCTATTACTACAGAATAAACTAGACATTTTGTTTATTTTTTGTTAGAACACATTTAGAATTAGGAAATCATGAATACATTAACATGCAAGTCAAAAGAAGGAAAGTTTAAGCGCCAGATTTTACAGTCTTGTTGATTTTGTGAATTCAAATAAATACATTTTATTTGTTTTTCTAGACATCCAGAAGAGCAAATACATTACATACACATTTCCATTGCAATTTAAAGTTGAAAAGTTGCTTCTAGCTTTCTGTGCACTACACACATTGCCACAGATCTTAGACAAACCTGTCACCAGGTACTAGTGCAGAAAAAACATTGTTATTATTTTTTAGATTGAAATGATTATGTCTTGTAGGTAACACCATTATTGGATCTAAAATGCAGAGGTAATTATGACAACATTAGGTAAAGTGGTTGCTTTCTAATTACATAGTATTGATTCTAAGGGTCCTAATATATTAATACTTTGGTTTAAATATGTATTGAACTTGGAAACTTTACTATAAACTATTTAGCCATTAAACCATTTTAAAAAATAATTTTAACCTTTCTCAACAAAATTTTTCAAGTATGGTGTATATTTACATGCCATGAAAATAGTGATACTGTATTTTATGATAGCTATAACAGTAAGTAATCTTGATGACCTTTTTTTTTGTGTTTAAGTACCTATATTCCAAGCATACGAGACATATTTTCAGTAAAGACAAGAAAGCATCAACCTATTTTGGATCACATTTTGAGTCCCATGTGTTTCCCTGACAAAAACCTCACTTTTTTCATATTTGGAACTTTATTATTATACATGTATACATTGATGTGGTTTGGCTGTGTCCCCACCCAAATCTCATTTTGAATTGTAGTTCCCATCATTCCCATGTGCCATGGAAGGGACCTGGTGGGAGGTAATTGAATCATGGGGGTGGATTTTTCTCATACTGTTCTCGTGATAGTGAATAAGTCTCACGAGATCTGATGGTTTTATCAAGAGGAGTTCCCCTACACAAGTTCTCTTGCCTGCCACCATGTCAGACATGACTTTGCTCCTCATTCACCTTTAGCCATGATTTTGAGGCCTCCCTGACCATGTGGCTGTGAGTCAATTAAACCTTTTTCCTTTATAAATTACCCAGTCTCGAGTATGTCTTTACTAGCAGCATGAGAACAGACTAATACATACATATAATTATTTTATAACTTTTAAATATACAAATTTGTAGTTATGTTTTATTTGTCATTCCTAATGTGGTCTTCTACTTGTGTCAATACATATAGATAGATAGATAGATAGATAGATAGATAGATAGATAGATAGATAGACAGATATGTATGTCTTTTCTATGAGACATATTTCATTTTTTGGACTTGAGTTTTATTTTTTTAAATTATGCAGCTGATATGACTTTATTTAGTTAGTTAGATTATAGGCCATTCTTTTTGTAATATTTCAATTTAATTGATTTTGCTTTTACTCTCCCTTAATTCTATCCTTCACTTCCACACACATTATCTGGCTTGTTTTTAGTTTTTTTCTAACTTCCTGAGTTTAGAATTTAGCTCAATTATTTTCAGTCTTGTCCCGTCCCATCTCTTCTCTTCTCTTCTCTTCTCTTCTCTTCTCTTCTCTTCAGACAGAGTCTCACTCTGTCACCCAGGCTGGAGTGCAGTGGTACAAGCTCAGCTCACTGCAACCTCCATCTCCCAGGTTCAAGTGATTCTCCTGCCTCAGCCTCCTGAGTATCTGGAATTAACAGCATGTACCACCACGCCCAGCTAATGTTTTTGTATTTTTTTGTAGAGATGGGGTTTTGTTATGTTGGTCATACATTTATTTGAAGTCAAATAGAACTGTTTAAACGTATTTGTCTATAGCTTATTGGTTTAATTTTTTTTGAATTATACTGATGAGGAAAAAAGTGCTTTGGGGGATATCAGGATGACTTTAGTTTTGATTGTATAGCTATGGATGGTTGTAATCATAGCCTTGGGGTATCTAAACTGTGGCCTCTGTTTTTGTTTTTATTTTATTTTTAATATTGTGTTTATATTGTACCTTTTTGAAATATATAGTAGTGTAAGAAGTGAGATACAGGTAAACAGTATAGTTTTCCAAGTAATATTCTTTTTCCTAAGCATGATTTATCAAATAAGCTATCTTTCTCATGCCTATTGAAAATGTCACTTTTATGTTATTCAAAATCTCCTAGTGGATTTTAGGCCTATTATGACTTCTCTAGTCTATTCCACTGACCTAATTTATATTTATAACTCAGTACCCATATTTTTATTATTAGAGATTAACAGTTGTTTTTAATATGCACTAGAGCTATTCCTTCTTATTGCACATAATTTTCAGAGACTTTTTTGGCCAAATCTGAATATGTTTCATATATTAGATTTATTTTTTTAATATCCAAGCTGATTAAAATCACTAAAGGTACAAAGCAAATTTTTAGAGCAACACTGGTATTTTCTTGTTTATTTCTATAGGAGTTCAATGAGCTTTTTTTGGCTTTTTAAATCATATCATTATAATTATGAATATATAATTTTATACATTTAAAGTATTTTAGTCTACTACATATTTTATTCTGTTTGTGACTAATAGAAGCCCTCTTATGTAGACAGCTTTTTGTGCTGTCTACATATGTATGATGCTGGTTTAACATGATACATTACTGCATGAGAGTTTTCATACATTCTAACACAAAAAGAAATACAATGTTAATCTTATACTTTTCTTGCCAAAGTGCTGAAAGAAAACATTGCTTTATGTTTGTGTTTTTTTATAGGGATATATTTATTAGCTCTAGTTTCTTTCATATGGATATATAATTAAAAGTATATTATTAAATTATTATTATTAATTATATATATATACAGACACACCAATAATGAACCAGTTTATAAAAGAAAGAAATCCCATTTGTAATAGCTACAAAAATACCAAGGAATGAATTTAACCAAGGAGATTTAAAAATCTCTACAACAAATACTATAAAACACTAATGAAATAAATGTAAGAGGACACACATAAAATAAAAAGACAATCTATGTTCATGAATTGGAAGAACTGATACTGTCAATATGACCATACTACCCAAAGGAAGCTACAGACAGAATGCAGTTTCTATCAGAATACCCATTAACATTATTCAAAGATAAAAAAAATCCAAAAATTTGTATGGAACCACAAAATGACCACAAATAATCAAAGCAATCCTGAGAAAAAGAACATCCTGATGTCACACCACCTGACATCAAAATATGCTACAAACTTATAGTAACTAAAACTACATGTACTGGTATAAAAACAGACACTTCAACCAATGGAACAGAATAGAGAGCCCAGAAATAAATCTGTGCATTTACAGTTAATTACTTTTCAACAAAGGAACCAGAAACATACATTGATAAAATAAAAGCCTGTTCAATAAATGATGCTCAGAAAACTAGATATCCATATGCAGAAGAATAAAAATAAACCCTTACCTCTCACTATATGCAATAACTAGATTAAAATGATTTAAAAACTCAAACGTAAGACCCAAAACTATAATTCTACTAGAAGAAAACATAGGGTAAATGTTTCAGGACATTTGTGTGGGCAAAGAGTTTATAGATAAGACTTCAAAAGCACAAACAACAAAAGCAAAAATAGACAAATAATAAGATATCAAACTAAAAACTTCTTCACAGGAAACAAAAATCACCAGAGTGAAGGGATGATCTGCAGAATGGGAGAAAATATATGCAAACTATTCATCTGATAAGGGATTAATATCCAGAATATACAAAGAACTCAACTCCCAACACCAAAACACAATAATCAATTTACAAAATGGGAAAATTATCTGAATAGATATTCCACAAAAGAAGGCATACAAATGGCTTTAAATAAATTGTCATCTTTTCAAATGTGACCAGACTACTTTGAGGAACTTATCCTTACTTCATAAAGCCAATAGACTTGGAAAATGACTAATCTGGTACCTCGTCTACATGATAGCCTTACAGGATTCTTATCCTTGTAGTTACTAAATAATGTTAGTTTCTGACAGGGTTAGGAATCCCAATATATTTTGGGATCTTGAGAAGAGAGGAAATTACCGAATTTATACAGATATTACAGGAACAGTCTGAAGGTGAATCCTTGGTTGGGCTTCGCAGCCTCAAGAGACTTTTAAATACCTGACCTAAAATTCCTTATTAAAAAGTTTTAGCAAAGCCAACTTCTAAAAAGTCTATATAGTAAGTAACTATTATTACTGTACTTTACAAAAATAATCAGGCCAAATACTAAACTTACTTTGCAAATGAATTAGTCTTACCAGGATTATCTTTGGTAAAAAAATGGGGGTGACTGTAGAGAGAAAAAAAAACAGGTTTTAGGGGAAAATGCTATAGTACACCTATTAATAGACTTTACCTCATTGATTTTGAGGGTTTATTATCAATCTCAAATCTGGAATTGAATCCTGAAATTTTTTTTAGTTTTCTCCAATATATGACTATGACTTTCTGAACTAATATTTGCCATTTTTCTCCCACAGCTTTTATTTGAAATCCCTGAAATTAAAACTATTCTTTCCTGAAATCCTGCAAACTAAAATTGGACAATTTGATATCAACTTCATAGAAATCACTGCAAGAGCTTATGTATAGGCAACTTCTATGCCTATAATTGAATATACTACTCAGAATTTTCCTGGTTTGCATTTTGCATCTGGTGTTCACTGGAAACTGCAAACCAGGAAAATTCTGTCAGATTACCACTATCTGTTCTCATGCCATCCAAATATGCCTCAAGCTGAACATCTAACATTCTTCTCAACCGGCTGCTTTTTGGACTCAAAAATTGAGTTTATAGTTTGTTCTACCCATTAACCTTTGCTTTTCTATTGTTTACATAGAAATACCCTTTATTAAATATCTGGTTGCTCAAATCATATAGAGGCCTGACATTGGTAGAAGACCATCTTCAACACCACTGCCTGAACTGAGACACAGCTTTAACTGTTTAACTGGACTGACCTATTCTGAGACTGAGAGACTGAGTCAATGGCTTATAAGATAATCCATTGACCTAATTTCTGGACTGTGAAAATTCTTAAGGAAGTTTCAGAATGGAGAATGTTGGTGCTAAGAATGAAGGTCTCAGAAGTAGCCTCAGAAGCAATAGTTTCTCTCTGACACTCTCATACCCTTCTGTCTCTGACTCTCATTCTCCCTCAAAGCTAGCCATAGACAGTAGAAGGTGGATCTTAGAAACGCAACTAATTCAAGGTGGGTCATAGAAACCAGAAACCCTTTTCTCTAAAGCCAGACACAAAACCTAAAACGATTATGTATTCCTTCCACCACTTTTCTGTGTAAAAACTTGCCGTAAAAAAATCACCTGATCGACTATGTTTGATTATAGGTCATCAGACCTCCATTCCAGAGAAGGTTCTGTCTTATCCCAGGAGGAAGGATTGCTGCACAGAGAGGCCATGAAGAATCTAAACAGACCAGCCTTGCCAGGTTTTTCTACTCAGTCTATTAGAAATACATCATAAACCTTTTGTCCAAACATATGTCTACATGGCATCTATACTTTGCTGTTTATAAGTATAAAACTGGACAGTTTCCCTTGTATCTTTGGATCTTCATTCAGAAAGTTCCTGTGTCATGCAAAATTGATCAAATAAATTTGTATGCTGTTCCTCCTATTAATCTGTCTTTTTTTGGTTGTTTTTTAGTGAACCTTCAGAGGGTGAAGGGGCAGTATTCCCTTAGTCCTTACAGTACAAATTAATGGTTTTTTAATATATTCACATTTATGTTTCACCATCACCACAATCAATTTCAAAGCATTTTCCTCACAGCAAAACAAAAACAAGTACTACTTATCAATTACCCTCACCTTCCCTCACCTTAGAGAAACACTAATCTGCTTTCTGTTTTTATAGATTTCCCAGCACTTGACATTTTCTACAAATGGAATCACATAATGGGCAGGCTTCTGTGAATGGCTTCTTTCACTTAGAAGAATGTTCATCCATGTTGTAGCATGTATCAGTGTTTTATTCCTAAGACAAAATAATATCCTATTTTATAAATATACCACATTTTTTATACACTTGCTAATTGAACTTTTGGCTTGTTGCTATCATTGGCTGTTTCTACCATTATGAATAATGCAGTTATAAACAATTTTCTAAATGTTTTGGTATGGTCATATGTTTTCATTTTATCTTCCTCAGAATGTAATCAATGGGTCCTCTGTTATTTCTGTGTTGAATCATTTGAGGAACTGCCAGACTCTTACACAAAGTATTTGCATCATTTTTACATTTCCACAAGGAGTGTATGAGGGTTCCAAATTCTCCACGACCAAGGGAAAACTTTTTTTATTTGACTTTTGATTCTAGCCACCTTAGTGAGTGTGAAGGAATATTTCATTGTAGTTTTCATTGCATTTTGCTGATGAATAATGATGTAATAATGGCTCATTGGACATTTTTATATCTTCTTTGAAGAAATGTCCATTTAATTTATTTGTCTTTTTATTATTGAGATGTGTCATTCACATATTCTGTATATATGTATTTTATTTTAGTTATTCTGGGTCATTTTTGTTTCCATACATGTCTTATGTCACCTTAACAATTTCTCTAACTTGCCTGCTGGAATTTTGGATTAGGAATACATTGAATCTGTAGCTCCATTTTATTAATGACATTGATAATTATTAGTAGCATTGACATCTTAACAATGCTGAGTTTTTCTTTTCATGCAATTTTGTATCTTTCTATGTATTTATATGTAATTTAATTTCTATCATTAGTTTCTAGAACCAACACTGTAAAATTGAAGTTATGAAAACATGATTTTGCATTTTTGTGATTTGAGGGAATGGTTGGAAATCTTAAGATCATTTGGCCAATATATTTGATTGGCAAATAATAATTGTATATATTTATGGAGCACAATGTGATGTTCTGATATATACATATATATACATTATAAAAATATTAAATCAAGCTAATTAACATAAACTTTATCTCACCTACTTTTTTTGTAGTGAGAATGTTTAAAATCTACTCTTTAAGCAGTGTCAAAATACACAATACATTATTATTAACTTGATCTGCTTCCCAGAAATTCAATTACATCACCTTCAAAAATAGATAATTATTATGCTCTTTTATACATTTATTTATGCTTGACTTATTTTTTAATACGTATTTATGCTTGACTTGACTTTTATATACTTATTTATGCCTGACTTGTTTTTTCTCTAAAACTGTAATCTTTAGGACATCCATAATTAAAGTGCAATAAGCATGAGTAGCATTGTATCATTCTTGACTTTAAGGAAGATGTTTCTAGCTTTTTTGTGCTCATAATTTTCTAGTTAATATATTACCCCATTTTCAGGGTTGACTTTTTATAAAGAGAAGATATCAGCAAAGAAAAAAGTTTGCAGAAAAAGAAAACAAAACAAACAAAAGAAAAGAAAAACAAATGTATAATAAATAATTGACATAAATAATTGATATAAATGTAGAAGATGAATAATATCAGAGTTTGAACAGTCATGAAAAATAGTCCTAAGAAAAATCTATAATCTCTCCATGGCTTTTTTCAATAAAGAGTTTGATAATGTTTCCACTACAGTTTACATCTATCTTCTATCTTAACAGATAGATAGGCTGGAATGAAATCTAGTCATCCCGTTGTAGTATGACCATTCCTGGATTTAAAATACTCTCTAATATTTAATGCACATCTATGGACTTCTTCATCCAAGCACAACAAAATACATGTTTTTTAAGCTTACATGGAACATTTACCAAGATAAGCCATATTCTTGGTGATAAAATATACCTTAACCAATTTTTAAAAATATAAATCACTCAAAGTCTGCTGTCAGACCACAATGGAATTAAACTAGAAATCAATAATGAGAGATGGATATCCCAAAATACTTGGAGATTAAATAATAAACTTATAAATAGCACATAGGTCAAAAATATCAAAAGACATTAAAATATTTTGAACTATATGGTAGAATAATTTATATTCATCTGGATATATACGCAGTAATGGGATTGCTGGGTTGAATGATAGTTCTATTTTAGCTCATTGAGGAATTGTCCTACTGCTTTCCACAATGGTTGAACTAATTTCCACTCCCACCAACAATGTATAAGTGTTCCCTTTTCTCCACAACCTCACCAGTATCTGTTATTTTTTGACTGTTTAGTTATAGCCATCCTGACTGGTGTGAGATGATATCTATTGTGGTTTTGATTTGCATTTCTCTAATGGTCAGTGATGTTGAGCTTTTGTTCATACACTTGTTGGCCACCTGTATGTCTTCTTTTGAGAAGTGTCTTTTTGTGTCGTTTGCTCATTTTTCAGTGGGGTTGTTTTTCTCTTGTAAATTTAGGTTTCTTACCGATGCTAGATATTAGGCCTCTGTCAGATGCATAGTTTGCAAATATTTTCTCCCATTCTGTAGGTTGTCTGCTCACTCTATTATTAGTTTATTTTGCTGTACAGAAGCTCTTAAGTTTAATTAAATACCATAAAGGCACATGTGCAAATGTTCATGGCAGCACTATTTACAATAGCAAAGACATGAAATCAACCTAAATGTCCATCAAGGACAGATTGGATAAAGAAAAGGTGGTATATATACACCATGGAATACTATGCAGCCATAAAAAACAATGAGATCATGTCTTTTATGGGAACATGGATGGAGCTGGAGGCTATTATCCTTAGCAAATTAACTCAGGAACAGAAAATCAAATGCCACATGTTCTCATTTGTAAGTGGGAACTAAATGATAAGAACCTATGAACACGAAGGAAACAACAGACACAGGGCCCTACCTACTTAAGGGAGGAGAGTGGGACGAGGTAGAGGAGGAGAAAAAAATAACTATTGAGTACTGGGCTTGATACCAGGGTGATAACATAATCTGCACAACAAATCACCATGAAACATGTTTACCTACGTAACAAACCTTCACATGTACCTCCAAACCTAAAATAAAAGTTAAACAAATTTTTTAACTAAATATAAATTAAAATGCAATTTATCAATATGTGTAGGTTGAAATAAAAACAGTGCTTAGAGAAAAATGTATAGCATTAAACTCATATACAGTTTGAATATCACTTATCAAAAATGCTTGACACCATAACAGTTTCAGACTTGGGATTTTTTTGGATTTTGGAGTGTTTGCATTATATTTACTGGTTGAGCATATCTGATCCAAAATCTGAAATCCAAAATCATCAAGTGATCATTACATTTAAGCACCATGTTGGCCCCAAAAAAGCTTCAGATATTGTATTTTTGAATTAAGGATACTCAAACTGTATTATAAAAGAAGAAAGGTGAAAAATTAATCGTTTAAGCTTCCATTTTTGGAAAGCAGGAAAAAAGAGCACATCAAATTTATAGTTAGCAGAAAAAAATTAATAGTATAAATTAGAACAAACATGAAAGAAGTGGAAAACAGCAAATTAGTAGAGAAAATCAAAGAACCCAAAATCTAGTGCTTTGAGAAGATCAATAAAATCATTTATCCTCTAGTTAGCTGACTGGCAATAAGAGAGAAATAGAGACAGAAAATGTAAATTACTAGACATCACTGCAATTCACATGAACATTAAAACATAATACAGAAATGCTACGAACGATTCTATGCCTAAAATTTGACAACCTAGATAAAGTAGACAAATTTCTTGAAAGACACACTCATACAAGAAAACTCACACAAAAAACATGCAAAACTCACACAAGAAAACAGAAGCAATCTATATCTTTCTATGTCTATTGTATTAGTCCACTCTCCACACCACTATAAGGACATACTCAAGACTGGGTAATTTATAAAGAAAAGATTTAATTGACTCACAGTTCTGCATGGCTGGGGAGGCCTCAGGAAACTTACAATCATGGTGGAAGGCACCTCTTCACAGGGTGGCAGGAGAGAGAATGAGTGGCAAGTGACAGGGGAAGCCCTTTATAAAACCATTAGATCTCATGAAAACTCATTCACTATCATGAGAAAAGCATGTGGTAACTGCCCCCATGATTCGCTTATCTTTACCTGGTCCTGCCCTTGACATGTGGGGATTATGACAATTTAATGTGAGATTTGGGTGGGAACAGAGAGCCAAACAATAGCATCTATTAAAATAACTGAATCAATAACAAATAATGTTCCATGAAGAGAAAGCATGAGGTGGATCAGATGAATTCAATGGTGAATTCTATCCAACATTTAAAGAAGAAATTACACCCATTCTCTACAATCTCTTTCTGGAGATAGAAACAAAGGGAACACTTTCTAACTCATTCTATGAAGCCAGCATCACCCTTATACCAAAATCAGAGAAACACATTACAAAAAAAAACAAAAAACAAAAACCTAGACCAATATGCCTTGAGAACATAGATACAAAAATTCCTAACAAAATATTAGCAAATAAAATCCAACAATGTATAAAAATAATTATATCCCATGACCAAGTAGAATTTATCCCAGGTATGCAAGATTGGTTCAACATTAAAAAATCAACTAATGCTATTAATCATATCAACAGGCTAATACAGAAAAATCACATGATTATATAAATAGATGCATAAAAAGCACTTGACAAAATCCATAAACCTATTCATGATAAAAAGTTCTAGCAAACTAGGAATAGAGGGGACTTTTTTCAACTCAATAAGGAATAGCTACAAAAAAACCTACACTTAACATCATTCTTAATAGTGAGAAACCTGAAGTTTTCCCACTAAGATAAGAAATAAGGCAAGATTGTTTGCTCTGATTACTCATTTTTAACATTTACTGGAAGTCCTCCATAATGCAATAATACAATTAATGGAAATAAAAGGTATATAGAGCAGGAGGAAAGAAATAAAACTGTCTTTTTTTGCAGATGACATGACAGTCAATGTAGAAAATCTGAAAGACTGAGTGAAAAATTAACACTTCCCAAACTAATAAGTTATCACAGAAAGGTTGTAGGATATAAGGTTAATATACAAATGTCAATTATTATGCTACCTACCAGCAATGAACAAGTGGAATTTGAAACTGAATACACAAATCCTACATACCAGCAATGAACAAGTGGAATTTGAAACTGAATACAAAATATGACTTGCATTACCATCCACCAACATTGAAACACTCAGATATAAGTCTAATAAAATATGTATGAAATCTGTATGAGGAAAATAAAATTCTGACGAAGAAATCAGAGAAAAACTAAATAAATGGAGAGATATTTCATTTCATGAATAGGAAGACTTGATGTTGTCAAGATGTTCAGTTCTTCTCAAATTGATTTATAAATTTATTGTAATCAAAATTAAAGTCCCAGCAATTTATTTGGTGGATATTGACAAAGTGATTCTAAGCTTTATATGGAGAGGCAAAAGACTCAGAACACCTGGCTTAGCCTCGTAGGGCAGAGAAAAAACTAGTTTAGGAATCTAACTACTCTATTTGAATCTCTAACTTTAGTCATAAAAATAAGTTTGTAATAACAATATGTTCATATTATTTTGTCATACAGTATGATTAACTTGTGTTTTGGAAGAGACATAATATGAGTTTACTAAATATATTACAATGTCGCAACACACCTTAGTCTACTGGGAATTCAGATATACTGACATACATTAGGCTGACTGCCATACTTCTCATGAAAATGATTCAAAATGGATTTGAGAAGGCCGGTTTCTTTAAAATAAAGACGCACAAGATTTAATGGATAAATATTATGATTATGGTTTGAGTTCTGGGCACACCACTGGTTCAGGCACACTTCCTGACTGGCCTACTTCAAGTTCATTCTCCCATTGGATAACTCTTCTTTCTCTCTTTATTGCTTTCTCCTATCCACCAATATTTTTATGCTTTATTCTGGAGGGCTTAGGTCCATAATCCATCATCATATGCTAATTTGGCCTAAGGCTGCATTCTTTACTGTTTCTTCTATCCCTTAAAATTCTTCCATCCTGCCTTTCCTTTTCTTAAAGCTGCCTTCTCTTTTCTAGAAGACTGTAGTCAGAAATCGTTCTAGAAAATATTTTCTGTTTTTGTTAATGAAGATATCCTTAATTGTAGATAACATTAATGTAAATAACAGATAGTATAGATAGCTCTTATAACACAATCACATAAATTTAAGACTTTAGGAAGGATCTTAAAATAAAAAATTATCCTGATGATTTCAAGTACCAAACCAGGACAGCGAAGGGGCTGGTTTTGCTTTGAAGACTATTTTACCATTCTTCAAAAGACAGGATTAAAATAAATGCCTACTTCACTTTTGTCAAATATTTACCTAGAAGCTTCATACATAGACATGTTAGCAATTATGTTATTCCCATTCTGAATCTAAGATATATCTTATCGTAAGGTGCGTTTTTAAATCAATAATTATATAATAACATATAAATTCAACTATATTGGGTGCATATATATTTAGGATAGTTAGCTCTTCTTATTAAATTGATCCCTTTACCATTATGTAATGGTCTTCTTTGTCTCTTTTGATCTTTGTTGGTTTAAAGTCTGTTTTATCAGAGACTAGGATTGTAACCCCTGCTTTTTTTTGTTTTCCATTTGCTTGGTAGATCTTCCTCCATCCCTTTATTTTGAGCCTATGTGTGTCTCTGCACGTGAGGTGGGTCTCCTGAATATAGCACACTGATGGGTCTTGACTCTTTATCCAATTTGCCAGACTGTGTCTTTTAATTGGAACATTTAGCCCATTTACATTTAAGGTTAATATTGTTATGTGTGAATTTGATCCTGTCACTATGATGTTAGCTGATTATTTTGCTTATTAGTTGATGCAGTTTCTTTCCAGCATCAATGGTCTTTACAATTTGGCATGTTTCTGCAGTGGCTGGTACCGGTTGCTCCTTTCCATGTTTAGTGCTTCCTTCAGGAGCTCTTGTAAGGCAGGCCTGGTGGTGACAAAATCTCTCAGCATTTGCTTGTCTGTAAAGGATTTTATTTCTCCTTCACTTATGAAGCTTAGTTTGGCTGGATATGAAATTCTGGGTTGAAAATTCTTTTCTTTAAGAATGTTAAATATTGGTCCCCACTCTCTTCTGGCTTGTAGAGTTTCTGCCAAGAGATCTGCTGTTAGTGTGATGGGCTTCCCTTTGTGGGTAACCTGACCTTTCTCTCCAGCTGCCCTTAACATTTTTTCCTTCATTTCAACTTTGGTGAATCTGACAATTATGTGGCTTGGCCTTGCTCTTCTCGAGGAGTATCTTTGTGGCGTTCTCTGTATTTCCTGAATTTGAATGTTGGCCTGCCTTGCTAGACTGGGGGAGTTCTCCTGGATAATAACCTGCAGAGTGTTTTCCAACTTGGTTCCATTCTCCCCATCACTTTCAGGTACACCAATCAGATGTAGATTTGGTCTTTTCACATAGTCCCATATTTCTTGGAGGCTTTGTTCATTTCTTTTTACTCTTTTTTCTCTAAACTTCTCTTCTCGCTTCATTTCATTCATTTGATCTTCAGTCACTGATACCCTTTCTTCCAGTTGACCGAATCGGCTACTGAAGCTTGTGCATGCATCACATAGTTCTCGTGCCACGGTTTTCAGCTCCACCAGGTCATTTAAGGACTTATCTACACTAGTTATTCTAGTTAGCCATTCGTCTAATCTTTTTTCAAGGTTTTTAGCTTCTTTGCGAGGTAATGTATAGATTCAATGCCATCCCCATCAAGCTACCAATGACTTTCTTCACAGAATTGGGAAAAAACTACTTTAAAGTTCATATGGAACCAAAAAAGAGCCCACATTGCCAAGACAATCCTAAGCCAAAAGAACAAAGCTGGAGGCATCATGCTACCTGACTTCAAACTATACTACAAAGCTACAGTAACCAAAACAGCATGGTACTGGCACCAAAACAGAGATATAGAACAATGGAACAGAACAGAGCCCTCAGAAATAATACCACCCATCTACAACTATCTGATCTCTGACAAACCTGACAAAAACAAGAAATGGGGAAAGGATTCCCTATTTAATAAATGGTGCTAGGAAAACTGGCTAGCCATATGTAGAAAGCTGAAACTGGATCCCTTCCTTACACCTTATACAAAAATTAATTCAAGATGGATTAAAGACTTAAATATTAGACCTAAAACCATAAAAACACTAGAAGAAAACCTAGGCAATACCATTCAGGACACAGGCATGGACAAAGACTTCGTGTCTAAAACACCAAAAGTAATGGCAACAAAGGCCAAAACTAACAAATGGGATCTAATTAAACTAAAGAGCTTCTGCACAGCAAAAGAAACTACCATCAGAGTGAACAGGCAACATATAGAATGGGAAAATATTTTTGCAATCTACCCATCTGACAAAGGGCTAATATCCAGAATCTATAAAGAACTTAAACAAATTTACAAGAAAAAATCAAACAACCCCATCAAAAAGTGGGCGAAGGATATGAACAGACACTTTTCAAAAGAACACATTTATGCAGCCAAAGGACACATGAAAAAATGCTCATCATCACTGGCCATCAGAGAAATGCAAATCAAAACCACAATGAGATACCATCTCACACCAGTTAGAATGGCGATCACCAAAAAGTCAGGAAGCAACAGGTGCTGGAGAGGATGTGGAGAAATAGGAAAATTTTACACTGTTGGTGGGACTGTAAACTAGTTCAACCATTGTGGAAGACAGCGTGGCGATTCCCCAAGGATCTAGAACTAGAAATACCGTTTGACCCAGCCATCCCATTACTGGGTATATACCCAAAGGATTATAAATCATGCTGCTATAAAGACACATGCACACGTATGTTTATTGCAGCACTATTCACAATAGCAAAGACTTGGAACCAACCCAAATGCCCATAAATGGTAGACTGGATTAAGAAAATGTGGCACATATACACCGTGGAATACTATGCAGCCACAAAAAAGGATGAGTTCATGTCCTTTGTAGGGACATGGATGAAGCTGGAAACCATTATTCTCAGCACACTATTGCAAGGCCAAAAAACCAAACACTGCGTGTTCTCACTCATAGGTGGGAATTGAACAATGAGAACACTGGGACACAGGAAGGCGAACATCACACACTGGGGCCTGTTGTGGGGGCGGGGGAGGGGGAAGGGATATCATTAGGAGATATACCTAATGTAAATGACAAGTTAATGGGTGCAGCACACCAACATGGCACATATAAACATATGTAGCAAACCTGCACCTTGTGCACATGTACCCTAGAACTTAAAGTATAATAATAAAAATAAAAATACAATAAAACTAAAAATAGAAAAAAATAAATAAATTCAACTAAAGATTAAAAAATGCAGTTTCAAGTGGACAAAATGAAAAATTTACATCTGCCTTACTATAATAAAGTGATAATTTCACCTACTAGATATGGGCAAAAATGGAGAGATGAACCACAGATATTTTGTTTATTTCAGGAAATTTTCAGGGAATTGATATCATTTAACTGTAACCGTTGTAGAAGTAATTCAAATGAGAAATGTAATAGCACGACACTTCAGAATTAGAGAATTCGCTTTGTTAATTTTTGCTTTTGTTTATTTCTGTCTCAACAACAACAATAAAGAATGTAAATTCCATTCCACACTGCTACTTTAAAATTTTAGGTTATTTGAGTTTATTGCTCACAAATTTGATTACAGGTCTTCATTAAATATGATTTCAATTTACATACATAGCATAAGTCTTTGCTTGCTGGCAGAGTTGGGGAATAATCAGTTATTTAACTTTTTATAACACTTATAATAATAAATCTGTTATTTAACAGTTAACCAGTTAACTTAATCAGTTATTTAGTCTGTTACAATAATCAGTTAATTAACTTTTTATAACATTTTCATGTATATTTGGTGAAAATAATTTTATATTTAGGTACATGGGCTTTGAAGTTATTGGAATCAGGTAAATCTGGATTTAAAATCTCAGCTCACTAGCTATATTTTACTAGTTAGATAATTCACTAGCTGTATGACATTGAGCCATTTATTTGAATTCCTGATACCTAGTTTCCTCATCTGTAAAATGGGGGTAAATACTTACCTCACAGACGTGATGAAAACTTAAATGAGGTAAAATATATACAGCATAGTACTTAGAACACAGTGATTGCTTTAAAATGCAGGCTATTACAATTTTTTTCATCATTCCCTAGATATATTCCCAAATTTCAAAAAACTGGAATAAAATTATATACATCAAAAAACCATATGGTAATCAAATTAGAACTTTTTGTTGAAAGTAACAAAATTCTATCCAAATTACCTTAAGAATCGGCTCTGAATTCTAGGACATACCAAAATGTTGTCCTAATAATATAAATATAAATTATATTCTTTTTAAAGCTAATTTGGACTAGATATTTATCCTGACACTTTATTCTACTTTTACTCCCCTCTACCCCTGTGCACCCTCATACAATATATTAGAGACCTGAAAAACAACTTACACATTAATCTATTTAAGGTCTTGTGATTCATGAAACAGAAAGGAAATTTCATAGATCATAGATATTACTGGTGCATTCTCACAGCTGCTTCAATTGTTCTTTCAGATAGAAGGAAGCCTGCACTTTCCAGATGTGCTGTGTTTTTGTGAGATCTTGCAGCTCCTTCTGGCTAAAGAACCGTGAAGGAAAGCAGTGTGTGTGTGTGTGTGTGTGTGTGTGTGTGTGTGTGTGTGTGTGTGTGTGATTTCTATGCTGATTTCAATAAGATTTCTCATAATTACTCCAAATCTCTCTGGCTTAGGCCATGTGTTTCAAATACTGCAGTTAGAAGAAAGTAGTGCTTTCTTCATCCTGAGTCATTGAGTATGGAATAATCTATTCTCTTTCCATGTGAAATATGTAGTAAGCGAGAGGCAATGTTGTATTATAAAGACACTGATTTAGGGAGAGGTTGTTTGTTACTAGAATATAACCTAATTTACATTAACAAATATATTCACTGTCAAATTCAGGCCTTATTTTATACCTCTACTATAAGGCAATATTCAGAACCAACAAATCACAACAACAACAACACACAAACACACACACAACACATAAAGCAATTTATAAATTAGATATTTGCAAGCCTAATTAAAAAACAATTTAATAAATCCAGGACAATCTCATACCTAAACTTGTTTTATGATGAAATTCTGGGACAGACTTGTATGATGTGAGCATTGCTATCCTGATATTTATTTCAATATTTGTAACAATTTAAAAGCAATTTTGATATTCCATACAGTTCCTATATTTCTAATGCCAAACATTTTAGATAAATATATTATGGGGAATTCTCCCTATTCATAACAACCATTTTTTACCAAAAATACTACAGCACTTCTCAAAATGCCTCTAATGCTAGGTAAATATTAAGTGAAACCCAGCTTTAATCCATACTATTATTTAATGACAGCTATTTTATCGCATTTACATATGAATATAAGCAACAGTTGTGACTAAAGAGGAAAGTCTGTTAAAAATGAAAGTTACAACTCAGGTGTTAATGTTCCAACATATTTTTATACTTCGGTGTCCATAGAATGGCTTCTAAATTATTCTTTTAAGGAACTTACAGCTCCCCAAAAATATTATGAAAGTAAACTAGTCTCTTTTTGCTTAATGTTCCATAGAAGTTAAAATATTTTTTGCATGTTGAAAGATTATGTGTATATTAATTTCATTATGAATTTTTAATATTACTCTCACTGAATTTAAGCTGAGTAGACATAGTGAAAGAGGAGAAAGATGCATAAACATATTATTGTATTCACTTTGCTTAATTCCACACATGCATATAAGTGTTATTTAGATGACATTTATATGAGGGCAAAATCTCTTTATTTTTTCATATGCTTACATATTAAACATTCTATTTTGTTTCCTAAAGCATATAGCTCAATAAACGAAAGGCATTAAAGAACAGAGAGAAAAGTTACCTGATTTTTCAAGAGATCATCTGGTACTTTTCTGGAGAATACAATTTATAGCAAAGTTGGAAACATGCGTGGAACCAATATACCAACAAAGATGCACATAGTTAGCTAAAAACTAACTAGAGAGTTAACATTCAGTCAAGTATCAGAATATTTCAAAATATTATATGTAGATTAGTTGCTTAGAAGATTGACCCTTCATGTACATATTTCTTGGCATGATGAAATTCCAGTAACTGCTTGTCAGATAATACATTTACTCCAAAAAACATTTTTTGTTGTTTTTGATGCAATCAGCTTTTATAAAATGTAGCTTCACTTGCCTAGTTGTGCCCATCCAAAACAAAGTGGAAAGTAAGAGAAGGAGGAGGAGGAAGAGGAAGACAAAAAGAAGCCGAAGGAGGAAGTAGAAACAAAAGAGGGAGAAGGAGTAGGAGAGCAATAACAGTAGAAGAAAAGCAGCCAAGTTCTTTTTTTTTTTTTTTTTTTTGAGACGTAGTCTTGCTCTGTCGCCCAGGCTGGAGTGCAGTGGCGCGATGTCTGCTCACTGCAAACTCCACCCTCCGGGTTCATGCCATTCTCCTGCCTCAGCCTCCTGAGTAGCTGGGACTACAAGCGAAAAGCAGCCAAGTTGTAATTGCTTTTCACTTCTGCGACTGGTATTACCCATTATAACTACATTCTTCTGTCCCTGTACAGTAAGGAAGATTTAGACATAACATGTGATTATAAATTAAAGAAAGCAAATTAAACTTTCTAATCATGAACTGCATGCTTACTCCCTATTTGCTCATTCTTATCCAATGACTCACAGTATCTGTAAGATTACTTTAAAAAAACTATAGTTGAAAATAATTTAAAATAAAACACCAAATAATGAAATACAACATTAAATTGAACATGTCTGAATATTAATTTGGTGTCCTACACAAACGTTTAAATAATAATTCGAAGATTTGAATGAGGCACCTCGTGTATGTAAAATTCAACTTCCTCAGTAAATCATCTATAAAATGTATTATGTTTTCTTTAATTAGTTTTGTTTGCTGCCATCTTTCATAAAACAAGAAATCCTGGTAGGGTAACTTACTAGATATTACTTGTTTAATACACAGTGCTCATATATGCTAATTTTCATTTGTGAAAACTTAATGATCAATCTCTAATAATGTCTTGTGGTAATTCATTTTACGGTACAATTTAAATAAACATGGATGAATTTTTCTAAACAAACCTTTGTCTCATATTGAATAGGTATTTTAATTCTCTATAGGTACAAACTAATCATTTTTTCCCATGAACATAAAAATGTGGTGGCAAATTAAAGATTTCTGATTATAGAGTTTCATTTTGAGAACTAATAATTCTTTTAAATATTAATAGATTATGTTAATTTTTTAATTTTAGAAAAATTGAACCAAGGCACTCATTGTGTAAGATAAAAGGACATCAAAATGTTTTTGTTTTCTAATTTTTAAACAAATATTTTTTATCTCTAAGTGTCTGAAAATGCAAATCTGAGATTTTGAGAAAATTTATAACAAAATCAAAGGATCTTACACCATTTAGCGCATAGCATCAAATCACTATTGTTCTGTATTTTGTCATTTCAATTCACATATGTCATATAGTGAGATTGGTAGGATTTTTTTTTCATAGTCTAAAGAGGTTATATTGTTTGTCTTAGTAATGACTATTTGATTATGTTTGCCCACAGCATATACCTTAAGTCTTATCTCACAATTTCCTAAGGCTAATTTTAGCACCCTGAAAGGGAGACATTTTCCATTTTAATGCTGATTCATTACTAACAGGTGAGACTTAACTATTGCTCTTAAAAATTGTTATAAGTATGATGTTCACAACTGTGACCAACATATAAAAAATACTAATATCCGTAATGAAGTGACTATAGGGACATAGATACATTGTAATTTTCCTCAATGTTCAAAATAATTTTAATGGTTTTCATTTCTAAATAAATAGCATTTTAGCTATTTGGGCTGTCAAAGCCTTGGAAGTCAATTTGTCTATATTTGCTCTACGTGGACAAAATCACATTATTCCACAACTGGTGAAATCTGTTTGCTTGTGATTCTTGAATAGCAAGCATAGAATTTCCTTTCTTATTAGATTTGCTCAGGTTGGCAGACACCGTAAAATCAAATACACACATTTTAAAAATTAAACAACTATTCCAACTCCCATGGCATATAACACGTAACACAGTTCAGGATATATTTCATTAGTGTAACACATACTAAATATGATTCATGTAGTGTTTCATATGTGCCAGCAACTGCTATATAAACATTAATCCGTTTAATTATCACAATGCCATCATGAATATGTACAGTAAATATCTGCACAAGTGAGGAAACTAAGGCACAGATGGGTTAATTTGCCAAGAACATAGTTCAAGTTAGTACATGAATTAAATACATGATTTAAAACCAGGTAATATAGATCTAGAGTTCAAGCTTCTTATCTTTTTATTGTATTGCTTAATCTAAAACAAGATTATTCATAAAAAGCTTAAAACATGTCATATTGTGCTAAGAATATCTGGAGGCCTTTGTAGCTATTTTTTTTATTTCAACAGGTTTTGGGGTAACAGGTGGTGCTTGGTTACATGGATAAGTTCTTCAGTGGTGATTTCTGAGGTTTTGGTACACCCGTCACCGCAGCAGTGTACACTGTACCCCGTGTATAGTCTTTTATCCCTCACTCCACTCCCACCCTTGCCCCTGTGTCCCCAAAGTCCATTGTATCATTCCTATGCTTTTGCATCCTCATAGCTTAGCTCCCACTTATGAACGAGAACATATGATATTTGCTTTTCCATTCCTGTTACTGCACTTAAAATAATGGTCTCCAGTTCCATCCGGGTTGCTGTGAATGCCACTATTTTGTTCCTTTTTGTGACTGAGTAGTATTCCATGGTATATACCACATTTTCTTTATCCACTCCTTAATTGATGGCATGTAGGCTGGTTCCATATTTTTGCAATTGCAAAATGTGCTGCTATAAACATGCATGTGAAAGTATCTTTTTGGTATAATGACTTATTTTCCTCTGGGTAGACACCCAGTAGTGGGATTGCTGGATCAAATGGTAGATCCACATTTAGTTCTTTACAGAATCTCCATACTATTTTCCAAAGTGGTCGTACTAGTCTTCCATTTTCACCACATCCACATCAACATCTATTAGTTTTTGATTTTTTGATTACAGCCGTTCTTGCAGAAGTAAGGTGGTATTGCATTGTGGCTTTGATTTGCATTTCCCTGATCATTAGTGATGTTGAGCATTTTTTCATATGTTTGTTGGCCATTTGTATATCTTCTTTTGAGAATTGTCTATTCATGTCCTTAGCTCGTTTTTTGATGGGACTGTTTGTTTTTCTTGCTGATTTGTTTGACTTCCTTGTAGATTCTGGATATTAGCCCTTTGTCAGATGTATAGATTGAGAAGTTTTCTCCCACTCTGTAGGTTGTCTGTTTACTCTGCTGATTGTTTCTTTTGCTGTACAGAAGCTTTTTAGTTTAATTAGGTGTCATCTATTTATATTTGTTTTTGTTGCATTTGCTTTGGGGTTCTTGGTCATGAGGTCTTTGCCTAAGCCAATATCTAGAAGGGTTTTTTCCTATGTTATCTTCTATAATTTTTATGGTTTCAGGTCTTAGATTTAAGTCTTTGATGCATCTTGAGTTGGTTTTTGTGAAAGATGAGAGATGAGGATCCAGTTCCATTCTTCTACATGTGGCTAGCCAATAATCCCAACACCATTTGTTGAATAGGGTGTCCTTTTCCCACTTTATGTTTTTGTTTGCTTTGTTGAAAATCAGTTGGCTGTAAGTATTTGGCTTTATTTCTGGGTTCTCTATTCCGTTCCATTGGTCTATGTGCCTATTTTTATACCAGTGCCATGCTGTTTTGGTGACTATGGGCTTATAGTATAGTTTGAAGTTGGGTAATGTCATGACTCCAGATTTGTTCTTTTTGCTCAGTCTTGCTTTGGTTATGATGGCTCTTTTTCGGGGGTGCCATAAAAATTTAGAATTTTTTTTCTAGTTCTGTGAAGAATGATGGTGGTATTTTGATGGGAATTACATTTAATTTGTTGATTGCTTTTGACAGTATGTCATTTTCACAATATTGATTCTACCTATCCATGAGCATGGGATGTGTTTCTACTTGTTTGTTTTGTCTATGATTTATTTCAGCAGTGTTTTGTAATTTCCTTGTAGTGGTCTTTTGCCTCCTTGGCTAGGTATATTCCTAAGTATTTTATTTTATTTTATTTTATTTTATTTTATTTTATTATTTTTGCAGCTTTTGTAAAAGTGGTTGAGTTCTTGAATTGATTCTCACCTTGGTATCTGTTGGTGTATAGCAGTGCTACTGATTTGAGTATATTAATTTTGTATCCTAAAACTTCTGAATTCATTTATCAGTTATATGAGCTTTTTGGATGAGTCTTTAGGGTTTTCTAGGTATAAAATCATATCATCAGCAAACAGTGACAGTTTGACTTCCTCTTTACCAATTTGGATGCCCTTTATTTCTTTCTCTTGTCTGGTTTCTCTGGCTATGACTTCCAGCACTATATTGAATAGAAGTGGTGGAAGTGGACATCTTTGTTTTATTCCAGTTCTTAGGGAAATGTTTATGTTTTTCCCTGTTCAGTATAATATTGGCTGTGGGTTTCTCATAGATAGCTTTTATTACATTAAATTATGTCCCTTCTATGCCGATTTTGCTGAGGGTTTTAATCATAAAGGATGCTGGATTTTGTCAAATGCTTTTTCTGCATCTATTGAGATGATCATGTGATTTTTGTTTTTAATTCTGTTTATGTGGTGTATCACATTTATTGACTTACTTATGTTAAACCAACCCTGCATACCTGATATGAAACCCACATGATCATGGTGCATTATCTTTTTATATGCTGATGGATTCAGTTAGCTAGTAGTTTATTGAGGATTTTTACATCTATGTTCATTAGGGATCTTGGTCTTTAGTTTTCTTTTTCTCCCATGTCCTTTCTTGGTTTTTGGTATTAGGGTGATACTGGTTTCGTAGACTGATATAATGAGGATTCCTTCTTATTCTATCTTGTGGAACAGTGTCAATAGGATTGGTACCAATTCTTCTTTGAATGTCTGATAGAATTCAGCTATAAATCCATTTGATCCTGGACTTCTTGATGTTGTTGTTGTTGGCAATTTTTATATCACCATTTCAATCTCACTGCTTGTTATTGGTCTGCTCAGTTTCTATTTCTGGTTTAATCCTGGTTTAATCTAGGAAGGTTTCATATTTTCAGGAATTTATCCATATCCTCTAGGTTTTCTAGTTTATGTGCATAAAGGTGTTCATAGTAACTTTGAATGGTCTCTTGTATTTCGGTGGTATTGGTTGTAATATCTTCCATTTTCTTTCTAACTGAGCTATTTGAATCTTCTCTCTTTTCTTTGTTAATTTCACTAATGGTTTTTCAATTTTATTTATCTTTTCAAATACAAAGCTTTTTGTTTTATCTTTTGTATTTTTCTATTCTTCCTTTCACTTTCATTTAGTTCTGCTCTTATCTTTGTTATTTATTTTCTTCTGCTGGTTTGTGGTTTGGTTTGTTCTTGTTTCTCTAGTTCCTTGAAGTGTGACTTTAGATGGTCTATTTGTGCTCCTTCAGACTTTTGGATGTAAGTGTTTAAGGCTGTGAACTTTCCTCTTAGACATGTTCTGCTGTATCCCAGAGATTTTGATAGGTTGTGTCACTATTATCATTCAGTTCAAAGAATTTTTTTATTTCTATTTTGATTTTGCTGTTGACCCAAAGATCATTCAGAAGCAGGTTATTTAATTTCAATGTATTTTCATGCTTTCGAGAGTTTCTTTTGGAGTTGGGCTCCAATTGTATTCCACAGAGGTCTGAGAGAGTACTTGATATAATTTTGATTTTCTTAAATTTATTGAGACTTGTTTTGTGTCCTATCACATGGCCTATCTTGGAGAATGTTCCTTATGCTGATGAATAGAATGTATATTCTGCAGTTATTGGGTAGAATGTCTGTAAATATCTATTACATCCATCTATTCTAGGGGCTCACCACAACCTCTGTTTCCCAGGATCAAGCAATTCTCCTGCCTCAGCCTCCTGAGTAGCTGGGATTACAGGCATGCACCACCACACCTGGCTAACTTTTTGTATTTTTAGTAGAGATGGGGTTTCATCATGTTGGCCAGGCTGGTCTCGAACTCCCAACCTATGTGATCCACCCGCCTCAGCCTCCCAAAGTGCTGAGATTACAGGCATGAGCCACTGCCCCCAGCCCCTCTAGGGTATAGTTTAAGTCCATTTTTTTGTTGTTGTTACTAATTGCTGTCTTTTTTTGTCGTTGTTATTAACCTGCCTAGTGCAGTCGATGGAATATTGTAGTCCCCCACTCTTATCGTGTTGCTGTCTATTGCATTTCTTAGGTTCAGTAGTAATTGTTTTATGAAGTTGGGAGCTCCAGTATTAGGTGCATATATATTTAGAATTGTTATATTTCCTTGTTGAACAAGTCCTTTTATTATTATATAATCCCTCTTTGTCTCTTTTAACTGCTGTTGCTTTAAAGTGTGTTTTTTTCTGATATAAGAACAGCTACTCCTACTGGCATTTGGTGTCCATTTGCATGGAAAATCTTTTTTCACTCCTTTCCCTCAAGTTTATATGAGTATTTATGTGTTAGGTGAGTATCTTGAAGATAGCAGATACTTGGTGAATTTTTAATCATCCTGCCATTCTGTAACTTTAAGTGGAGCATTTAGGCCACTTGCATTCAACATTAGCATTGAGATGTGAGGTACTATTCTATTCATTATGCTATTTGTTGCCTGAATATTTAGGATTATGTTCACTGTGTTATTTTTATATATGTCCTGTTAGATTTATGCTTTAAGGAGGTTCTATTTTGGTTTATTTTGAGGTTTTGTTTCAAGACTTAGAGTTTGAAACAAAACAGCTGCTTTTAGCAGTTCTTGTAGTGCTGGCTTGCTAGTTGGTGAATTCTCTAAGCATTTGTGTGTCTGAAAAAGACTATATATTTTCTTATTTATGGAACTTAGTTTCTCTAGATGAAAAATTATTGGCTTATAATTGTTTTGTTTAAGGAGGCTAAAGGACCCCAATGTCTTCTGGTCTGTAGAGTTTCTGCTATCTGATAGGTTTTCCTTTATAAGTTACCTGATGTTTTTGCCTCACAGCTCTTAAGATTCTTTTCTTCATCTTGACTTTAGATATTCTTTAGACTGTGTTCCTAGGTGATGATCTTTTTGTGATGAATTTCCCAGGTGTTCTTTAAGCTTCTTGTATTTGGAGGTCTAGATCTCTAGCAAGACTGGGGAAGTTTTCCTCAATTATTTCCTCAAATATGTTTTTCAAACTTTTTGATTTCTCCCTCAAGAAGCAATTATTCTTAAATTTGGCCATTTAACATATCCCAGACTTTTTGGAGACTTTGTCTTTTTAAAATTTTTTTTTTTTGTCTTTGTAGGATTGTGTTAATTCAAAAGCCTTGTCTTCAAGCTCTGAATTTCTTTCTTCTACTTGTTTAACTCTATTGCTGAAACTTTCCAGGGCATTTGGCATTTCTGTAAGTGTGTCCTTCATTTCCAGAAGTTCTGATTGCTCTTTTATTTATGTTATGTATTCATTTGGAGATTGTTTTTGTCCATATCCTGTAACTTTTAAAAAATTTCTTTGAGTTGATATTTACCTTTCTCTGGTGCCTCCTTGAGTAGCTTAAAAGGCGACCTTCTGAATTCTTTTTCTGGCAATTCAGATATTTCTTCTTGGTTTGGATTCATTGCTGGTGAGCTAGCATGATCTTTTGGAGTGTTAAAGAACTTTTCTTTGTCACATTACCAGAACTGTCCTGCCAGTTCCTTCTTATTTGGGTAGACTATGTCAGAGGGAGGACCTGGGGCTCAAGGGCTGCTGTTCAGATTATTTTGTCCCATGGGGTGCTCCCCGGATGTGGGTGCTCAGGGATGTGGCTTCCTGAGAAGTGAACTGCAGTGATTGTTATTTTTCTTCTGGATGTAGGTGCCCAGCTACTTGGGAATGTCTGCAAAGAGACCTGTGATGTGATCCATCTTCAGGTCTCTCAACCTTGGATACTAGCACCTGTTCTGGTGGAGGTAGCAGGGGAGTGAAGTGGACTCTGTGAGGGTTCTTGGTTGTATTTTTGTTTATTGTGCTAGTTTTGTGTTGATTGGCCTCAAGCCAGGAGGTGGCGCTTTCAAGAAAGCATCAGCTGTGGTAGTATAGGGAGGACACAAGCTTGCCTAAGGTCACGAGGATAAGTTTCTCAGGCAGCAGGCAGCCCATAGAGCTCCCAAGCAATTATGTTCTTTGTCTTCAGCTACCAGGAAGGGTAGAAAAAGACCATTAGGTGTGGGCAGGGTTAGGTGTGTCTGAGTTCAGACTCCCCTTGGGCCAGGCTTGCTGAGGCTGCTGTGCGGGATTGGGGTGTGGCTCTTAGGCCAATAGAGGAATGTTTCTAGGGGAATTATGACTGCCTCTGCTGCATAATGCAGGCTGCCAGGGAAGTGGGGGAAAGCCAGCAGTTACAGGCCTCACCCAGCTCCCATGCAGCCCAAAAGGCTGGTCTCACTCCCACTATGCCCCCACCATCAGCACCCAGTTTACTCCCAGGCAGCTGGTGTGCAGGGATGAGGACTTGCCCCAGGCTTCAGGTCTCCCTACTGTGAAAGCAAGCAGGGCCTTTAGGTTTCATGCCTCCCCACCAGCCACAACTTCTGTGCTGTGATTTCACTCCCCAGTTAACCCTCTCCCCCAGATTATGTCGAGGAAACTTTGTGTTCTGTCAAAATTGTTACAAAGTTCAGTTGGAGGTTTCCTTCTCCCTGTGGTCTTTCCCCAATTCCACTGGCGGCCTTACCCAAGGATCCTTGTGAGATAAAGTCAGAAATGGCTTTCCCAGAAACCAAGAATGCCAACAGGCCTCGTCCCACAGCTTTCTCTATCCCTGTATTTTGCTCAGCTCTCTAAGTTCATCTCAGCTCCAGGTAAAGTCAAATCCTTCTCCCATGATGTGGACATTAAGGTTCCCCAGTGAGGATGTTTGTTTAGGGGCAGACGATCCACCTTTCACATTTTCACGCTTTGGGCACTCAGAGTTTTTCGGCCATTTCCTGGAGCCTGAAGTAGCAATTCACTTCTTTCAAAGGGTCTGTGGATTCCTTTGGCTTTCCTGGTATGGTCCTGCTGTGGTTCTTCAAGCAAAAGTTTTGGATATGGGTCTCCACACGCCGCTCTGTCCATGTAAGTGGGAGCTGTAAGTTAGTCCTTCCTCCTACCCACCATTTTCCCAAAGATCCAGCCTCTGAGATTTTGTTATTTATATCTTTCCTTTATGAAACTATCACTGTCTAGTTCTTCAGAAGAAGAAGTTCGTAAATTTATTCCTTTGTTGTGTTATTCAATAAGCCTGGTACAAATTTTAGGTATAAGTTCCAGTCAGACATATCAGTTTTGAACCATAAAATCATGGCACTTGTGTATTTTTTTAGTAGTTTTACAGCATGCAACAAAATATCTGTTACCAATGATAGCTGAAGTGCCAGTATTTTGAAATAATTTTCTGTCTATTCCATTGAATTCTGCATTTTCCCCATAATGTCACTTTTAGTTATTTGCAACCCGCCATTGTAACTGATATGCCTTTAATAAGAATAGAAAGTATATATTATGCTGCCTCATTTTGCACAAAATTAAGCATTTTCTTATTTGCTAAAATCTTATCACATTCATGACAATATGACAAGATGGTCAATAGCATGCCATCAGTATTACGGTAGAAAAAATTAGCAAATATCCAGTCTTAGCTCATAAATATGCAAGCAGCTAGGGACTTCTTTTTTGTCTCCACATAAAGTATATTTTTTGATATCCTGATAGTTATTGCAAATCATATACCTCAAATCAAAATAGTCTTGAGTATATTCAGGATGCTAAATGTAGCGAGTAAATTTTCCTGTGTTCCTTACATAGACTTGGTAGTATCAGCAATCAGTCACCACATCGCTCTATCTGCTGGTAGGTGGCTGTCATAAGAAAATACCTTAGGTGATTACAAACTCTTACAGTCTCCTCCTTTTCCATGTATTTTTCCTAGTTTTCAGGTCTATATGTAATAGTGCTTATCAAATAATTTCAGTCTGTCTATATTCAAATTGCCATTTCTGTGGTCTTTTGAACCACAGCACACAATCCTGTCACCAGTGATTCCACATGTTAGAAGTCCATATTTTATAACAGACAGCTTATTACATGTCACACTATATGAATGACCTTGTGCTTCTCTCTCAAAGTGGAAAGTCTATATAGCAGTTATTACTTGGTGAAGTCCCTGGAATTGCTTGCCTCTATCCACAGTTTGCCAGAGACCTTTGAATTTCTAGGGTTTTTTCACCATATTTTAAATGTATCTCAGGGAATTAGGCTGTTGTGTGTCAGTATTAGGTTTAGCCACAGCACACTGGATTACTAGAACACCTATTTCAGCCCCTGCTGCCTAGAAATTCCAAATGAAAAATTCCTTAAACCTACTTTATTTCTCCTAGTACATTTTCATGGTGATCTAGAGACTTAGCATTCCTTGTATTAGCCAGGCTTCTATAAAATATTATTCTTGGCCAGGTGTGGTCACTCACACCTGTAATTCCAGCACTTTGGGAGGCTGAAGCAGGTGGACACCTTGAGCCCATGAGTTTGAGACCAGACTGGGTAACATGGAGAAAATCCATCTCTACAACAAAAAAACAAAAATTAAGAGTTAATTTGTTTATATTACATTAGTTTTAATGGAGTTATACAGTAATTTAAAGTGTCACCACAGAACAAGAGCTTCATTCCAAGAATGAAATCACATAATTTCCAGTCACGTAATAATATATTCCATAGAATAATGCTTTTAAAAAAATGTGAAATGCTCTTTTTTATGTTATAATTTAAACTTGATTGGCTACTTATTCTTTATGTTAACATTTCTGCTTACTGCTAGTGAATTTTTGCTAGAAAATTATACCAATGATCCAAATGAAACACACCGATTGAATCATGATAAACAAAATGAAAAAAAAAAAACTAAGGAAAATCATATCTGGCTGCATTACACTGCTTATCCAAAACTAGAGAATAAGCCATTTCAAGCAACACCTTTGAAGAGTCACATAGTATGAATTTGTATATGTTAGTATGTAGATGTATACACATGTTCACATACACTCAGGATGCAGTTGACCTGACTATGAATGGGGGCATAGATAAAACTTATGAAAATTGTCCTCATGCCAAATTGTAATTTTCAATTTCCTGTAAAGTAAAATTTATATCCCTCCCATGACCTTGTTAAATAAATTTATGAACAGTACTACACTAAATCTAGAACTTATTTCCACCTAGGTCAAAACAAATGTAAATTGTGTACCTTATTTTGAATATCATGAATGTGATATAAATTTACACTTCAGGAAGCAATATCATTGGAATTATGTCGATTATAACTCATTTTAACAAGACAAACCTGCATACAATCACTTGAGTATTATTTTTTTAGGACTACACTTATATTCTTCTCACAAAAGGTCTATAAAATATGGTATTTAAAACTATTTGTAATAAAATGTTTTGAAAATTAGAAACTTCTCTTTAACATGTATGGATATTTACTTGAATTATCATTTCCTAAAATCAAGAGCTCTCTGCCTACCTGTAAATCTGTTCAACATCATTAAACTTCTGTTTGTATTATTATTTTTGTTTACTTATAGCTTAGTTTTTTTTTTTTACCTAGTTTATCTTTATAAGAATGACATCAGTGTGCATGCTTTTATATTATTCAGAACATGGTATGTTTGCATGAATGTAAAAAAATGAAATAGTTTACTGTAAAAAAAATAAATAAATAAAAAGAGGAGAGGAGACAGAGCAAGATGGCCAAATAAAAGCCTCTGCCAATTATCCTCTCCTCTGGAAGACTAAATTTAACAGCTAATTACACACACACAAAAAGCACCTTCATAAGAACCAAAACATCGGGTGAGCAATCCATACCTAGTTTTAACTTCATATCATTGAAAAAGGCATTGATGAGGGTAGGAAAGACCGTCTTAAATTTCTGACACCAACCCTGTTTCATCACCCTGTCAGTAGCTGGCAGTGTAGCATGGAGAAAGAATCTGTGCACTTGGGGGAGGGACAGCACAGCAATTGTGGGACTTTGCACTTCAACACAGTACTGTCAACACCAAGCAGAACTCAGCTGGTGCTCATGGAAGTAGCATTTAGGCCAGCCCTAGCCGGAGGGGAATTGCTTATCCCGGTGGTCGGAGCTTGAGTTTCAACAAGCATTGGCACCTTGGGTCAAACTTCAAAGGCAGTCTAGGCCATGAGGACTGCAACTCCTAGTCAAGCCCTAGTGCTATACTGGGCTTGGAGCCAGTGGACTTGGAGGGCACATGACCTAGTAAGATACAAATCCAGATGGCTAAGAAAGTGTTTGTGTCACCCCTCCCCCAACTCTGAGCAGCACATCTCCCAGCTCTTAAGGAGACCCCTTCCTTCCACTTGAGGAGAGGAGAGGGAAGAGTAGAAAGGACTTTATCTTGCAATGTGTATGTCAGCACAACCACAGTAGGATAGGGCACTGGGCAGCGTCATGAGGCCCCCATTTCAAGCTATAGCTCCAAGATGACATTTCTAGACCCACCCTGGGCCAGAAGGAGACCCACTTCCTTGAAGAGAAGGACCCAGTCCTGGCAGGATTCATCAGCAGCTCACTAAAGAGTCTTGGGCCCTGAGTAATCAGCAGTGATACTTAGGTAGTATGTCATGGGCCTTGGATGAGACTCTCAAATATGCTGGCTTCGGGTGTGACCCACAATATTCATAGCTGTAGTGTCTATAAGGAGAGACCCCTTCTGCTTGAGAAAAGCAGAGAGAAGATTAATGAGTACTTTCTCTTCAGCTCAATTACAGGCCTCCACTCTTACATGGAATCTCTGGATCTACCCTGGGCCAGAGGGGAGAACACTGCCCTGAAGGGTGAGTTCCAGGCCTGGAATCATTCACCAGAATTGAATGAAGTGGCAATGGGTGTTAAGTGAACTGAACACACATTGAAAAGCCATTGAGTATTAAGTGAACATCAGCTGTACCTTGGCTGTACTCCCTGTAGGACTGTGGTGGTGGTGGACCTGAGAAGAGACTCCTCTGCCTGGAGAAAGGGAAGGAAATAGTAGAAAGCACTTTGTCTGGTGGCTTCAGTTTCAGCTCATCTGCAATAGAATACAGTACCAGGTAAATTTTTTTTTTTATTATTGTTATACTTTAAATTCTAGGGTACATGTGCACAAGGTGCAGGTTTGTTACATATGTATACATGTGCCATGTTGGTGTGCTGCACCCATTAACTCATCATTTACATTAGGTATATCTCCTGATGCTATCCCTCCCCGCTCCCCCCACTCAACAATAGGCCCCGGTGTGTGATGTTCCCCTTCCTGTGTCCATGTGTTCTCATTGTTCAATTCCCACCTATGAGTGAGAACATGCAATGTTTGGTTTTTTGGCCTTGCGATAGCGTGCTGAGAATAATGGATTCCAGCTTCATCCATGTCCCTACAAAGGACATGAACTCATCCTTTTTTATGGCTGCATAGCATTCCATGGTGTGTATGTGCCACATTTTCTTAATCCAGTCTATCATTTATGGGCATTTGGGTTGGTTCCAAGTCTTTGCTATCGTGAATAGTGCCACAATAAACATACGTGTGCATGTGTCTTTATAGCAGCATGATTTATAATCTTTTGGGTATATACCCAGTAATGGGATGGATGGGTCAAATGGTATTTCTAGTTCTAGATCCTTGAGGAATTGCCACACTGTCTTCCACAATGGTTGAACTAGTTTACAGTCCCACCAACAGTGTAAAATTTTCCTATTTCTCCACATCCTCTCCAGCACCTGTTGTTTCCTGACTTTTTAGTGATTGCCATTCTAACTGGTGTGAGATGGTATCTCATTGTGGTTTTGATTTGCATTTCTCTGATGGCCAGCAATGATGAACATTTTTTCATGTGTCTTTTGGCTGTATAAATGTCTTCTTTTGAGAAGTGTCCATTCATATCCTTCACACTACCTAACTTCAAACTATACTATAAGGCTACAGTAACCAAAACAACATGGTACTGGTACCAAAACAGAGATATAGACCAATGAAACAGAACAGAGCCCTCAGAAATAATACCACACATTTACAACTATCTGACAAACCTGACAAAAACAAGAAATGGGGAAAGGATTCCCTATTTAATAAATGGTGCTGGGAAAACTGGCTAGCCATATGTAGAAAGCAGAAACTGGATCCCTTCCTTACACCTTATACAAAAATTAATTAAAGATGGATTAAAGACTTAAATGTTAGACCAAAAACCATAAAAAATCCTAGAAAAGAACCTAGGCAATACCATTCAGGACATAGGCATGGACAGCGACTTCATGTCTAAAACACCAAAAGCAGTGGCAACAAAAGCCAAAATTGACAAATGGGATCTAATTAAACTAGAAAGCTTCTGCACAGCAAAAGAAACTACCATCAGAGTGAACAGGCAATCTTCAGAATGGGAAAAAATTTTTGCAATCTACTCATCTGAGAAAGGGCTAATATCCAGAATCTACAAAGAATTCAAACAAATTTACATGAAAAAAAAACAAACAACCCCAGCACCAGGTAGATTTCTAAGGTTTCTGACTTCAGGCCTGTTTCAATGACAGCATTTCTGGACCTGCCTGGAGGCTAGGGGAAGTCATTGCCCTTAAGGCAAAGACACAAGCCTATCTGGCTTCACCACCTGCTGACTGCAGAGCCCTACTGCTTTGACCAGGCAGAGGTGGTATCCAGGTAGTGGTTACAACAGACTTTGGGCAAGACTTAGTGCTATGCTGGCTTCAAGTCTGACTGAGTACAGTCCCAGCGGTGGCGGCCACAAGGGTGATTATGTCACCCCTCCCACAGTTCCAGGCGGCTCAGCACAGAGAGAAAGACTCTGTTTGAGAGAATGTGAGAGAAGAGAACAAAAGCCTATGCCTGGCAATCCAGATAATTCTTCTGGATCTTATCCAAGACTACTAAGGCAGTACCTCTACGAGTCTGCAAAAACCATAGTGTTACTGAGCTTGGGGTACCACACAATGCAGATATGGCTGCAGTGACCAAAAATTTAGATCACAAAACTCAAGTGCCTTTGAATAACTGAAAAATTTTCCCAAAAAGGACGAGTACACACAAGCCCGGATTGTAAAGACTGCCATAAATACCTAACTCTTCAATACCTAGACACCAAGGAACACGCACAAGCATCAAGACCACAAAGGAAAATATTACCTTACCAAAAGAAATAAATAAGTTACCAGAGAACAATCATGGAGAGACAGAGATACGTTATCTTTTAGACAGAGAATTCAAAATAGCTGTTTTGAGGAAACTCAAAGAAATTCAAGGTAACACAGAGAAGGAATTCAGAATCCTATTATACAAATTTAACAGGTTGAACTAATTAAAAATAAACAAAGAATCAAGCATACATTTTGGAGTTGAAAAATGCAATTCACATACTGAAGAGCATCAGAGTATTTTAACAGCAGAACTGATCAAGCAGAAGAAGATATTGGTGAGATTTGAGACATGTTATTGGAAAATAGAAAATCAGAAGAGTCAAAAGAAAAAATAAGAAAAAGCAATGATTCATGCCTACAAAATCTAGAAAATTGCCTGAAAATGGCAAATCTAAGAATTATTGGCCTTAAAGTGGAGATAAGAATGAAAAGTTTATTCAAAGATGTCAGTATTCGAGTACAAACACCAAGAAGATTTATCCCAAAGAAGACTACCTCAAGGCATTTATAATCATCAAACTGTGAAATGTCAATGATAAAGATAGAATCCTAAACGCAGCAAGAGAAAAGCCACAAATAACATACAATGGAGATTCAATATGTCTGGTAGCAGACTTTTCAGTGGAAACTTTACAGGCCAGGAGAGAGTGGCATGACATATTTAAAATTCTGAGGGAAAAATCTACTAACCTATAATAGTATATTGAGTAAAAATGTTCTTAAAACATGAATAAGAAATAAAGATTTTTCTCAAAAAAAATGGAGGGATTTTATCAACATGAGACTTGTCAAAAAAAGTCTAAAGGGAGTTTTTCCATCTAAAAGTAAAGGAAGTTAATGGGCAATAAGAAATCATTTGGAAGGTACAAAACTTACTGGTAATATTTAGTACACAGGAAAACACAGAATAACACTGTAATTGTGAAGTGTAAACTAGTCATATCTTAAGTAGAAAGTTGAAAAGATAAACCCATACAAATTATAACTACAACAACTTTTCAATACATAGATAGTACAATAAGATGTAAATATAAACAACAAAAAGTTAAAAAGCAGGGGACAATGTTAAAGTGTAGAATTTTTATTACTTTTCCTTTTGCTTCTAAGTTAGTTTTTGCAGTCAGCATAAAGTTGTCATCAGTTTAAAATAATGGGTTACAATATACTATTTGCAAGCCTCATGGTAACCTCAAATCTAAAACCACACAACAAACACACAAAAAATAAAAAGTAAGAACATAAGACACACCACCAGAGAAAATCACCTTCGCTAAAAGGAAGACAGGAAAGAAGGAAAGAAGGAATAGAGAACCACAAAACAACAAGAGAACAAATAACAAAATGCCTGGAGTAAGTCCTTACCTATCAATAATAACATTAAATGTAAATGGACTAAATGTTTCAATTAAAAGATATAGGGTGCCTGAATGCATAAAATAAAATACTCAATAATCCGTTGCTTACAAAAAAACACACTTCACCTATAAAGGCATATGTAGACTGAAAATAAAGGGATAGAAAAGATACTGCATGCTAATGAAAACCAAAAAAGATACAGGAGTAGCTGTACTTACACAAAATAGACTTCAATACAAAAACTATAAGAAGAGACAAAGAAGGTCAGTATATAATGATAAAGGCATCAATTTAGAAAGAGGATATAACAATTGTAAATATATATATGTACTAAACACTGGAACACACAGATATATAAAGCAAATATTATTAGAGCTAAAGAGAATGTGACGGTTAATGTTGAATGTCAACTTGATTGGATTGAAAGACGAAAAGTATTGTTCCTGGGTGTCCCTGTGAGGGTGTTGCCAAAGGAAATTAACATTTGAGTCAGTGGGCTGGGAGAGGCAGACCCACCCTCAATCTGGGTGGGCACCATCTAATCAGCTGCCAGCATAAAAGCAGGCATGGAAAGTACAGACTTACTGAGTCTTCTGGACTCCATCTTTCTCCCATGCTGGATGCTTCCTGCCCTCAAACATCAGACTCCAAGTTCTTCAGCTTTTGGACTCTTGGACTTACACCAGTGATTTGCCAGGAGCTCTTGAGCCTTTGGCCACAGACTGAGGGCTGCACTATCAGCTTCCCTACTTTTGAGGTTTTGGGACTCGGATTATCTTCCAGGCTCCTCAGCCTGCAGACGGCCTATTATGGGACTTTGCCTTGTGATCGTGTGAGTCAATTATCCCAATAAACTCCCCTTCATATATTCATCTATCGTATTAGTTTTGTCCGTTTAGAGAACCCTGGTAAATACAGAGAGAGGTAGACCTGAATACAGTAACAGCTGGAGACATCAACATCCCATTTTCAGCATTGGACAGATCATCCAAACAGAAAATAAATGAAGAAACATGAACTTAATTTGCACCATACAAAATAGACCTATTAGCTATTTTCAGAATATTTCATATAATGGTGGCAGAATATACATTCTTCTCCTCAGTACGTGGATCATTCTCAAACACAGATCATATGATAGGTCACAAAACAAGTCTTAAAACATTCAAAACCTTTAAGTGGTATCAAGCATCTTATCTTACTGTAATGGAATAAAACTAGACATTAATAATAAGAGGAATTTTGGAACCTATACAAATACATAGAAATTAAACAATATGCTCCTGAATGGCCAGTGGGTCAATGAATAAATTAATAAAGATATTAATAAATCTCTTGAAACGAATAATAATGAAAACACAACATACTAAAACCTATGGGGTACAGAAAAGCAATACTAAGATGGGAGTTTGTATCTATAAGTTCTTACATCAAAAAAGAAGAAAAACATAAAATAAACAGCCTAATGATGCATCTCAAAGAACTAGAAAAGCAAGAGCAAACCAAAACCAAAGTTAGTAGAAGAAATAATAAAAATCAGAGCAGAAAGAAAAGAAATGGAAATGAATAAAATAACACAAAAAATCAACGAAACAAAATGCTGATTTTTTGAAAAGACAAACAAATTTGATGAAACTTTACTCAGACTAAGAAAAAAAGAGAGAAGATCCAAAGAAATAAAATCAGAGATTAAAAAAATATATATTGCAACTGACACCACAGAAATTCAAAGAAGTAGCAGTGGCTATTATGTTCCACTATATAGCAATAAATTAGAAAACCTAGAGATAGATATATTCCTAGACACATACAACCTACCAAGATTAAACCATAAAGAAATCTAAAACATAAACAGACCAATAATAAATGACAAGATCAAATTTGTAATAAAAATTCTCCCAGCCAAAAAAAAAAAAAAAAAAGCCTGGAATTCTATGGCTTCATTGCTGAATTAAACAAAAAATTTAAAAAAACCGATACCAGTCATAGTAAAACTGTTCCAAAAAATAGTAGAGGAGGGTGTACATCCAAACTTTTTCTATGAGCCCACTATTACCCTGATACCCAAATCAGACAAAGACACATCAAACAAAGAAAACTGCAGGTCAGTATCCCTGATGAACATTGATACAAAAATCCTGAAGAAAATACTAGCAAACCAATTTAACAAAACATGAAACTGGAAACCCTCATTCTCGGCAAAGTAACACAAAAAGAGAAAACCAAACACCACATGTTCTCACTCATAAGTGGGAGTTGAACAATGAGAACACATGGACACAGGGAGGGAAACATCACACACCAGGGCCTGTTGGGGGGTGGAGGCCTGGGGGAGGGATAGCATTAGGAGAAATACCTAATGTAAATGATGAGTTGATGGGTGCAGCAAACCAACATGGCACATGTATACCTATGTAACAAACGTGCACATTGTGCACATGTACCCCAGAACTTAAAGTATAATAATATAAAATAAAATAAAAAGATTATCTATCATGGCCAAGTGGGATTTTTCCCAAGGATGCAAGTATAGTTCAACATATGCAAATCAATGAATATGATACAACATGCCAACAGAATGAAGGACAAAAACCATATGATCATTTTAGTTGACACTAGAAACACATTTGATAAAATTCAATATCTCTTCATTATAAGAACCCTCAAAAAACTAGGAAGAGAAGGAACTTACCTAAACATAATAAAAGCCATATATGACACACCCACAGCTAGTATCATACTGAATGGAAAAAAAAAACCGCAAGTTTTTCCTATAAGATCTGAAACATGACAAGAATACACATTTTCAACACTGTTATTCAGCATAGTTCTGAAAGTCCTAGATAGAGAAATTTCACAAGAGAAAAAATACAGGGCATCCAAATTGGAAAGAGAGACATTCTTATTTGTCAGTGATATGACCTTATATTTGGAAAAATCTAATTACCATGAAAAATCTTTTACCCTGATACCCCACTCAGACAAAGACACATCAAAGAAAGAAAACTACAGGCCAATATCCCTAATGAACATTGATGCAAAAATCTTCAAGGAAATACTAGCAAAACGAATTCAACAACACATTGAAAAGATCATCTATCATGACCAAGTGGCATTTTGACTTCATCAAAGACTATTATTAATAGTACATTTGCAGGATATAAAATCAACATACAAAAATCAATAGCATTTCTACATGCCAACAATGAACAATCTGAAAAATAAATCAAGAAAGTAATCCCTTATACAATAGCTACAAATTAAATAAAATGCATAGGGCTTACCATAGTGAAAGTGAAAGATATCTACCATGAAAACTGATCAAAATTAATCAAGGAAGTGAAAGACCTCTACAAGGAGAACTGCAAAACACTGCTGAAAGAAATCATAGATGACACAAACAAATGAAAAAACGTGATCCATAATCACGGATTGGAAGAGTCAGTATCATTAAAATGGCCATGCTTTGATTCAACACTATTCTTATCAAGATACCAACATCATTTTTTTACAGAACTAGAAAAAGACTATTCTAAAATTTATATGAAACCAAAAAATAGTCCAAATTGCCAAAGCACTTCTAAGCAAAAAGAACGAAGCTGGAAGGATCACATTATTTGACTTCAAACTATACTACAAGGCTACAGTAACCAAAGCAGCATAGTAGTGGTACAAAAACAGACACATAGACCAATGGAACAGAAGAGAGAATGCAGAAACTAAGACACGCATCTACAGCCATCTGATCTTCAACAAAGTTAATGAAAATCTGCAATGAGGAAAGGACGTCCTATTCAAAACATGGTGCTGGGATAGCTGGCTAGCCATATGCAGAAACGTAATTTCTTCATGTACAAAAATTAACTCATTTCTTCATGTACAAAATTTCTTCATGTACAAAAATTAACTCAAGATAAATACTTAAATGTAAGAGCTCAAGCTATAAGAATCCTAGAAGAAAATCTAGAAAACACCATTCTGAATATTGGCCTTGGGAAATAATTTATGACTAAATCCTCAAAAGCAATTGCAACAAAAATATTGACAAGTGTGACCTAATTAAGCTAATAAGATTGTGCACAAGCAAAGACGTTATCAATAGAGTAAACTGACACATACAGAATGGGAGAAAATATTCACAAACTATGCATCTGACAAAGGTCTGATATCCAGAATGTAACAGGAATGTAAGCAATTGAACAAGCAAAAAGAAATCCCATTAAAAATGGGCAAATTCCATGAACAAACACTTCTCAAAAGGCATAAAACTAGCCAAAAAATATAAAAAATGCTCATCACTACTCATCAGAGAAAGGCAGACCAAAACCAAAATGAGATATTATCCCACACTTGTTACAATGGCTATTTTTCTTTTCTTTTTTTTTTTGAGACGGAGTCTCACTCTGTCACCCAGGCTGGAGTGCAGGAGTGCATCTCTGCTCACTGCAAGCTCTGCCTCCCAGGTTCACGCCATTCTCCTGCCTCAGCCTCCTGTGTAGCTGGGACTACAGGTGCCCGCCACTACGCCCGGCTAGTTTTTTGTATTTTTTTAGTAGAGACAGGGTTTCGCCGTGTTAGCCAGGATGGTCTCGATCTCCTGACCTCGTGATCCACCCGCCTCGGCCTCCCAAAGTGCTGGGATTACAGGCATGAGCCTCCGAGCCCAGCCCACAAGAGCTATTATTAAAAAGTCAAAAAACAACAAATGTTGGTGAGGCTGCAGAGAAAAGTGAATGCTTCTACATTGTTGGTGGGAATGTAAAGTAGTTCAGTCACTGTGAAAAAACCGTCTTGTGATTTCTCAAAGAACTTAATACAGAACTGCCATTTGACCCAGGAATCCCTTACTGGGTATATATCCAAAAGAAAATAAATCATTCTATCAAAAAGACACATGTATTTGTGTATTTATCACAGCACTGTTCACTGTACCAAAGACATGGAATCAACCTAGAGGTCCATCAATGATGGATTGTATAAATAAAATGGGGTACACAGACACCATGAGATACTATGCAACTATAAAAAAGAATGAATTCATGTATTTCGTAGCAACATCAGTGCAGCTGGAGGCCATTATTCTAAGCTAATTGATGTAGGACCAAGAAACCAAATACCACATGTTCTGATTTATAAGCGGGAGATAAACACTGGGTACTCATGGACATAAAGATAGCAATATTAGAGAGGGGAGAGATGGAGGGGTCAGGGCTTGAAAAATGAACTACTGGGTACTATGCTCACTACCTGGGTGATGGGATTAATTGTACTCCAAACATCATCATTATGCAATATACATGCAACAAACCTGCACATGTACCCCCTTGAATCTGAAATAAAATTTGAAAATATATATTAAAAAAAGAAATGCTAAGGGGAGTTTTTCAAGTTGAAATAAGAGGATGCAAACTAATACCATAAATATTTATAAAATTATAAAGCTCACTATAAAAGTAAGAATATAGTTAAATTCAGAGCACATTAATACTGTAATGGTGTATATTATAACTTTAATTGTCATATAAAAGTATACATCACTTTTAATTGTCACAAAAATTAGATGAAAGTATTAAAATAATGATAGGTACAATAATATGTTAATGAATACATTATATATAAAAGATGTGAATTGCAGCATTAACAATGCAAAAGGTAGAGGAAGGAAAAGTTAAAATGTAGAGTTTTTTGTATGCAGTCTAAAGGAAGTTGTTATCAGCTTAATATAGGCTGATTTAACCATAAATTTTTTGTAAGCCTCATGGTAACCACAAAGAGAAAACCTGTAGTAGACGCACCAAAAATAGAGAACAGAATCAAATCATAGCATACCACTACAGAAAAATCATCAATCACAAAGGAAGAGCACATGTGAAGAAGAATGAAACAAAGGAACAACAAAAACATTGAGAAAACTATTAAGAAAATGACAATAGTTAAGTTCTTACCTATAAATAATTACTTTAAATATAAATGTATTAAATTCTCCAATAAAATGTCATGGAGAGATTGAATACATCAAAAAAAAAAAGATCCAATTATATTCTGCCTACGGGATAAAGAAAACATGGTATATATACACAAGATAATATTATTGAGCCTTAAAAAAAAGGGACTAGTGAATGACATTTGTTAAATCATGGGATAAATTTGTAGGATGTTAAGTGAAGTAAACCAGTCACAGAATAACAAATACTGCATAATTTCACTTATATGTTAATTCTTAAAACGTCAAACTCATAACAGCAGAGAGTGCAATAGTGGTGGCTCAAAGTCCTCTTTAGCGATGGGATGGGAGAATGGGTAGATGTTTGTCAAAGGGTAAAAGATTTCTGTTAGAATGAATAAGTTTCAGAGGTCTATTGTGGAGCATGGTGACTATTTGATAATAATGTATAGTGATACAATTTAAATGGTGTCACTGCTCAAATGTCATGTCAAATTGTAATCCCCAGTGTTGGTCATAGTGTCTTGTGGCAGGTGATTGCATCATGGTGGTGGATCTTTCATGAATAGTTTAGCACCATCCTATAGGTGCTGTTCTCATGACATGAGACCCTGTTATTTAAAAGTGTTTAACACCTCCTCCCCAGCTTGGTCCTGCTCCTGTCATGTAAAATGCCTGTTCCCTCTTTGCCTTCCACCATGAATAAAGCTCCCTGAGGCCTCCCCAGATGCTGGCCATGCTTCCTGTATAGCCCGCAGAACTGTGAGCCAATTAAATGGCTCACAGAGCCATTTAAAATTCTTAACATTTAAAAGAGCCAATTAAAACTCTTTTCTTTATAAATTACTCAGTCTCAGTTATTTCTTTGCAGCAATGTGAGAATGGCCTAATACATATACCATACTAGCAAGTTGCTAGGAGAGTAGATCTTGAATATTCTCATCACAAAATAAATATGTGACGTGATGGATATGTTAGTTGATTTAATCATTTCATAATGTGTATATATATATATATATATATATATATCAAAATATAATATTGTACTCTGTAAACATATAAAATTTCTATTAGTCAAAAATACCTTAATACAGCTGTAAAAAATATATAAATCCACTGAAACAAATAAAAAAAGCAAAGCAATAATTAATTCCAGGCAAAATAAAATAAAGTGCACAAAAGAAAAAGTATCCAGACTATGTTATAAGTTGCCAGTAATATTCATAAAGTAAGGAGGTAAAATCTTAATGATGATCTAAATAAAACCATAATAAAATTATATTCATAGGGGACTGTGAAATGTGCACATGTATATTGCAAAATGGGGATGAAAAATACAGCTAAATATTTATATTCCACAGTGACAATTCAATGGCTAATGCCCAAAATTATAAAATCAATAAATATCAATTGATATAGTTTGAATATTTGTCCCTACCCAAATCTCATGTTGAAATGTAATCCCCTGTCTTAGAGGTGGGGTCTGGTTGGCGATATTTGGATCGTGGGGTGGATCCATCATGAATGGCTTGGGCCATTTCCATGGTAATATGTGAGCTCTCACTCTGCATGCTAATGAGATCAGGTTGTTGAAAAGTATGTTACACCCTCACCTCAGAATCTCTCACTCTCTTGCTCTTGTCCTGGTCACCTGATATGCCTGCTCTGTCTTTGCCTTCCACCATGATTGGAAGCTTTCTGAGGCCTCGCCAGAAGCAGATATTGCTATGCGTCCTATACAGCCTGCAGAACCATGAGCCTGTTAAATCTCTTTTTATAGATTAGTCAGTCTTAGGTATTTCTTCATAACATTGCAGGAATAGTTTAATATAGCAATATTCAATCTTATTTAAAGAAATGGAGGTTAACATTTAAAATATTTTCTAAAATAGTTGAAAATGTCTCTGGGAAGGTATAAGTGGGGAATGAGTGGGTGAGCTATTTTTTTTCTCACCAAATATTATAAAGCTATTTGATTTATTAAGCTATGTGCATATTTAATTTCTATAAGCTTAAAAAAGTAAAAAACACTGTAGCTGAAGAATATTTCTTACTCTAAAGTACTCTGTTGTCAGAAAATTTGTCCCTATGTTTAAGGGTAGCAGCACAATCTTCTCTTGGTTCTGCTATGCTTCTTACAGTGTCTTTAGTAATTAGGATTCATTGTTAGCAAGCTTATATTTCACATTTTAATGTTAACTCTTGCAACGCCAACAAAGCAGTGAGGTTTAGTGGAAAACAGTCAGAACTGGGAGAATGTGCTATAGTTCCTGCTGTGCTGACAAAGTCATAGTTGTGACTCACTTAAATTTCTGGGATTGAAATTCTTCATTTGCAATTCTTTTTTAGTTTTAAAATTGAGGCAGTAAGTAAGTTAGGTAAATTTGAAGTCCACTCTATTTGTATGATTTTCTGGTATTATCATTAATAAGAGAATCAAATGTCACTTGGGTTTCGTAGGTCAATAAGCAATTACTATAAAGCAAATACAGAGTGTGATCTTCTGGAATGAGTGTCGAATGAGACTTTCATCCTGGAAACCTACTTTTATTATAAGAAAATAACTGGTTCCGGGCAGTAAGCTGTATACCTGCACATTCACTGTTTTTTTCTCATTAATTTTTTTGCGTTTCCTTCACACAACCGTGATCCCAAGAGCATACATTCAGGATATTGAATAAACAGCTAGGCCATTTATTCTAGTCACTTTCATTCATGATTATGCCTATTGAAATTGAGTGGTATTTAGGTGATAGTTAGCCAGCAAACTAGTGATACTAAATCTTAGCCTTGACATTGTTTCTTCTTGTGAGGTCTCTGAGAAAGATAAATACATAAAAAGGCAAAGAATGAAAAACGAACACGATTGAATGTTAGGGTTTCGAGTCTAAAAGTAAATATTGAACTCTAGTAAGTTAGTATGAACTGCACTAGAAACTCATATTTTCTAAGTTATGTAGGTATAAATATAGATGAATTAAAGTAAAACCTAACCTTAGCTTCAGAACTCACACGTGTGATGTAATGAAATATTAAATAAGTCCTATCTTCTACTATAAGAGAGAAAGGATCAAGGGAGCTGCCATAGTTTGGATGTCTGTTTCTCCAAATCTCATGTTGAAATTTGGTCCCCAGTGTTGGAGGTAGGGTCAAATGGTAGGTGTTTGGGTCATGGGGTGGATCCGTCATGAATGGCTAGGTGCTGTCCTCATGGTAATGAGTGAGTTCATGCTCTATTAGTTCCTGTGAGAGCTAGTTGTTTAAAAGAGCCTAGCACTTCCCCACTTTATCTGTCTTTTTGTCTCTCTGTCTCTCTCTCTCTGCTTCCTGTCTCACCATGAAATTTCTGCACACCTCAGCTCCCTTTCACTTTTCATCATGAGTAGAAGTAGTCTGAGGCCTTCATCAGAAACAGATGTTGGTGTCATGGTTCTCGTACACCCTGCAGAAATGTGAGCCAAATAAACTTATTTTTTAAATAAATTACGCAGCTTCAGGTTTTCCTTTATGGCAACACAAATGGACTATGGTAAGAACCAAAGAGAAAAATAATAGTTTTCATTTCAATATTCAATGCCAAATTTTGGCAAGGAAGAATGGGTGGTGGTGTATTACTTAGACAAAAGAAAGATGTTCATGGATATTAAAGAAATGTTGTGTACCATTATTACATCTTGTAGAAGGTCTGATTTGGTCAAGCCCACACACATTAGAAACTTCAGTTCCATTGAGAACTTCACTCACTAGCCCTGTGTCTCAAGATTTCCTAGGACATGCCTTGTTGCAAATTTCTGTAGTTTTTTTTTTTCAATGAGGTAATCATTTTTTCTACCTTGGAAATGGAATAAATGTAGTAATAAATAGATGAAGAAGTGTTCTTTTCCTATCCTTTCCAGTGGTGTCAGTTTCAACTTATGTTTATCTTTCAACTATATCCAGAAAAAGACCCAGTTATCAAAAGCCATGCATGAGCTACGTGAACATTTCCTATGCTCTGGTCACTTTTTCTGTCACGAATCTTAGGTTTTCTATTTTGCTGTGATCAACCTCTTTATCCATTTTTTTTCATGTTCAGGGTCTCATATTGACAGCCAATGCTGTAACATTTTAAATTAAATCTTGCAAATGAAGGTGAAAGAAAATGATAAGATACTGACCCTACTATAGTCTTCCTCAAGAAACGAAAACAAATCTGACACATAAAAGAGCAAAATAAAAGGTTTTTATAGAATAAATTGATATATTTATTTTAAATTTTGTCGTATTATTCTGGACTATTTGTTTTGACACTCTCAATACTAATTTCTCTCCATAGATTCATAGCACTAGAACTACAGAAATAAATAACGTTTTAATAAATGTGAATTAAAATGTTACCTCCTAATACATACAGAGTATGTGCGACTCAAATCTGTTGGGAAAATAATTAACCATATATGTCAGGAAAAGAGAATAACAAAATGCCGATCTTAAAAACAGTGAAAACATACTGAGTGTTAAGCTTAAAATTAATATTCTTTTCACATTTTTCAGGCATTCCAATGAACTTCTCTAGGTGTTAGGAACCTGTCAGCTTGGGCAGAATCTCTCCCCACAACAATTAACACTGTCAGGCAAAATTATAAATCAGTGAATCTTGAACCTAGCTGCTAATCAGAATCACCTTAAGGACATTTTAAAAACACAAATTTCTGAAGCTGCCCTAAGGACAGATAATTAGAATCTGTATTAAAAAAAAATAAGCAAACCATAAAACAAAACCAATCTGCACATTATCCTTAAAAAGTCACCTGTTAATTGAACCATGTTGGGAACCTATTAACACAGAACAATATTGATATTCTAATCTTTCTATTTCTGAAATTATTAGAAAAATTACATGTTTTAGCATAGATAAGGGATACTTTATAGCTTACATTTAAACATATGTGTTTATCTGAAGTCATCAAATATTTCTTGAGAAGCATTTATTCAAGATACAGTATTAGGCAATTTATGGAATAAAAACATGCCCTGTCTTCAAAGAGTTTATAAATACTAGAGAAAAATGTGTATTAGTGAATATTAGAAAATAGTAATGATCAATTTGACAAAATTCAGTGGGCCAAATGATTCAGAAATATTTTTATTTTTTCACATAGGTAATAATCATCTTGTCCATTTTATATCCAAGGTTCAGCTGAAGTCCTACTTTCTTGAAAAAAAATTCCTGGATTACTCTTATTCTGGAAATATTATGTAACATATTTATTTAATCTTTACATGTTAGTCAATGACGTAATCATTTTTAGTACACTTTATTCTTATATCACTTACATATTTACAGGAAAGCTGAACAGACAGTACAGAGGATTCCCATACACTCTGAACTCAATTTCACCTACTAACACCTTACATTATTATGACACATGTATTACAATTAATGAACCAATATTGATGAATTGATATTAACAAAATTCCATAATTCACTTAGATTTCCTTAGCTTTTACCTAATGTATTTTTTTTTCTCTTTAGGGATTTCATACAGGATAACACATTACATTTAGTTGTCATTTCTCTTTAGGGTCCTCTTGGCTATGGCAGTTTCTAAGACTTTACTTGTTTTTGATTAACTTAGCAGTTTTAAGGAGTTTTAGGCCTGGCGCGGTGGCTCATGCCTGTAATCCCAGCACTTTGGGACGCCAAGGCGGGCGGATCACGAGGCCAGGAGATCGAGACCATCCTGGCCAACATGGTGAAACCCCGTCTCTACTAAAAATACAAAAAACATTAGCTGGACGTGGTGGCACATGCCTGTAATCCCAGCTACTCAGGAGGCTGAGGAAGGAAAATTGTTTGAACCAGGGAGTCGGAGGTTGCAGTGAGCCAAAATCGCGCCACTGCACTCCAGCCTAGAGACAGAGCGAAACTCCGTCTCAAAAAAAAAAAAAAAAAAAAAAAAGAAGTTTTAAGGAGTATTTGTGAAATGTTTATTATTCCAATTTGTTTGATGTTTTTCTAATTTTAAATCATGGGTTATGAGTTATTGGGAGGAAGACCACAGAGGTAGAGTACCATTTTCATCAATATCAAGAATCCATATCATCAAAATGATTTATGACTGTCGATGTTGACTTTGACTGACTGCCTGAGGTAACCTTTGTTACGTTGCTCCACCACTGTAAATGTACTATTTTCCTTCCTTTCTATATTATACACTTTGGAAGGAAGTCACTATGTGCATACCACAAACAAGAGTATTTGCATCCCGTCCTTGAGGGCAGGGTGTCTACATAAATTATTAGGAATTCTCTGCATGGGAAACTCATAATTCATTTCCATTAATTAATATATTTAATCATATATTTATATCAGTATAAATTTATAGAGATTTATTGTATACTGTGGATTAAAATCTAGTGCTACTTTATTTATTTTTTGTTTAAAATTATCTACATTTTGACACTGGAGCCTATTTCAGCTGACTCCTGTGCTTCTTTGATATACCCCCATCCTTGTATGTGTGTATGTGCATGTATTTATGTACGTTTGTATATATGTTGTGAGCATTTTCTTGCTTCTCGGCACTACAAGATGCTACACACTCATCTTGTATACTTCCCACCCTAGTCCTATAACCAGCCACTTCTCCAATGAGCCCTGGTGCCTTTGTTGGAGAATGGTATTAGAAATCATTATTCAGCCACTAAGTGTGCTCATTGCTACTCATGTATCACTTCTTTTAGGCTCACTCAGCTGACAGAGAAAAAAATACTTGTGTATGATAACTTTTGTATATACACATATCTATCAATAGTTGTATATGTAACCATCTGTATCTATATTAAGCTAAACGTGAGGTCATGCTGACGTTTACAGTTCTCATCCATTACCATATGGATAGGTTTTTATTTCTTTCTTTATCTATAAACTTACTCCAACTATAAGAAGACTGATTCCTTCCATCAGTCATGTATTTAATTAAATGTTTAATTCCATTATACATGTATAGCAGAGCCATTAGCTCATACACCCATGGGAAACTATTTTATCAACTAGATTACAGTGCTCATGTGCAGTTCTCATAGTCTTATGCTTACAGATCCTACTCATTTGCAAAGTTGCTTGAGTCAGCACCTTTTCTCCCTCTCCCATTAAGTGAGTTTGCTTTATGTGTTTGTAATACAGTTAGAATATCCTGTCACACTCTGCATTTTTAAGTGACCCTTTGACCACCTAAATTATGTTTTTAAATTTGCACATGGACCAGTTTTCGTGCAGTAAAGTTCTACAGGTTTTGACAAATGCATAATGGCTTGCATTCACTGCTATAGCATCACACAGAAAAACTTTACTGTAACCCAAATCCCTTGATCTTTATTTGTTTCTACCTCTTTATTACCCCTAAAGCCCTGATAACCATGGGTTACTTTGTCTTTATAATTTTACCTTTTCCAGAATGTTATACAATTGGAACCTAAGGTTTCTTTATCAAGAAACATTTAATATTTTTTGTCTTTTCATGGTTTGATAGCTCATCTGTTTGCTTCCAGCTCTTGGCAATTATAAATAAAGCTGCAATAAACATTATGCTTGGATTTTTATGTGATTATAGGTTATGAAATAAATTTGATAATAACTAGGAGCATGACTATTGGGTCATGTGGTGACTGTGATCATACAGTTTTGTAAGAGACTGCCTGTCTTCCAAAGCACCTCAACCATTTTGTATTCCATTAGCAATCAATGAGTTTATATTGTTAAGCAACCTCTCCAGCATTTATTATCGTAAGTTTTTAGACATTTCAATAGGTATGTAGTAGTATTTCATTATTCTTTTAATTTGCAATACCTCAAAAACAAGTTTGCTAAAATAAATAATAAAATACTATTGCATTTTATATTTCTGTTCATGAACCATCTTGAGTCAAGTTTCGTGAATGTTGCAAATGTTGTGTCTAGATAGACTTTTTAAGACTTCATATTTTACAGTTCCTAGCAAAATTAAGAAAAAGGTACAGAGGTTTTCTATATATCCCCTATTTCCACACAAATCTAGCCTCTGCCATTATAAACATCTCCAACCAAAGTGGTACATTTGTTACACTCAGTGAATCTACATCGACATATCATTATCACCCAAAGTCCACAGTTTATATTAGAGCTCACTCTTGGTGTGTACATTCTGCGGGTTTGGAGAAATGTATATTGATGTATATCCACCATTATGGCATTATACATTGTATTTTCACTGCCCTAAAAATTCTCTGTGCTCCACCTATTTATTCCTCCCTCCCCCAAACCTTGGCAATGACTGAACTGTCTCTATAGATATGCCTTTTCCAGAAAGCCATATAGTTGGAATCATACAGTATCTAGCATTTTCTGACTGGCCTCTTTCATTTAGTAATATCCGTTTAAGGTCCCTCCATGTAATTTTATGGTTTGACATCTCATTTATTTTTGTGTGTGTGTGCTGAACAATAATCCCTTGTCTGAATGGTTCACAGTTTATTTATATGTTCCCACACTAAAGGACATCTTCGTTGCTTCCAAGTTTTTGGAAATTACAAATAAAGCTGTTATAAACATCCGTGTGCAGTTTTGTGTGGAAATACTTTTCAATTCCTTTGTGTAAATACCAAGAAGTGTGATTGACGGATCCTATAGTAAGCTTTTTTAAAAAGCACCAAACTGTCTTCCAAAGTGGCTGCTCCATTTTTCATCTCTACAGCAATGAATATGATTTCCTGATGCTACACATTCTTGTCAGCATTTGGTGGTGTTAATTTTTGGTATTAGCCATCTTAATAGGTGTGTCGTATTTAGGTGTTTCAATTTTCATCTCCCTGATGACACATGATGTGGAACATGTAAAAATATGCTTGATTGTCACTGGTATATTTCTTTTTTGAGGTAACTGTTAAGTTTCTGTGTCATGTCTTAGTTGTTTTCTTATTGTTGATTTTAAGAGTTCTTTATACATTTTGGATTACTGTCCTTTTTCATGTGGGTCTTTTGCAAATATTTTCTCTCAGTATGTTGCTCATCTTCTCTTTCTATTGACATTGCCTTTAACAGAGAAGAAGTTTTTAATTTTAATGAAGCCCAGCTTACAGGTAATTTCTTTCACGGATCATGCCTTTGATGCTGGATCTTAAAAGTCATTGCCATACCCAAATCATCTAGGTTTTCTTCAACATTATTTTCTAGGAGTTTTGTAGTTGTGTGTTTTGCATTTGAATCTATAATCCATTCTGAGCTTATTTTTGTGAAGAGTGTAATATCTGAGTCTAAGTTCATTTCTTTAATGTAGAAGTCCAGTTGTTCCAGTACTATTTGTTTAAGGCTCTATTTACTCCATTGTATTATTTTGCTTCCTTTTCAAAGATAGTTGGCTAAACTCATGTGGGTCAATTTCTGGACCCTCTATTTTGTTACATTTATTTGTCTATTCTTTCACAAATACAATACTTTTTATATTACTATAGTTTTACAGTAAATTTTGAAGTCAGATAGTGTGAGTCTTTCTACTTTGTTTTTATCTTCAATATTCTGTTTGCTATTTTGGGTCTTTTTCCTCTCCATGTAAAACTTTAGAATCACTTTCTTGATACCCACAAAGTAACATGCTGCACTTTTGATAGAGATTGAATTGGATCTGTAGATACAATTTGGAAGAACTTAGTTCTTGTCTCTATTGACTCTTCCTATTCATTAATATGGACTATATTTTCATTTACTTTGTTCTTTAATTTATTTCATTAATGTTTTGTCATTGTCCTCATATAGATCTTGTATATTGATATGGTTTGGCTGCATTCCCACCCAAATCTCATCCTAAATTGTAACTCCCATAGTCCCTGTGTGTCATGGGAGGGACCCAGTGGGAGGCAATTGAATCATGAGGGCGGATTTTACCTGTGCTGTTCTCATAATAGTGAATAAGTCTCACATGATCTGATGGTTTCATAAAGGGCAGTTCCCCTGCACATGCTCTCTTGCCTGCCACCATGTAAGACGTGCCTTTGTTCCTCCTTCACCTTCTGCCATAATTGTGAGGCCTCCCCAGCCACGTAGAACTGTGATTCCGTTGAACCTCTTTTTCTTTATAAATTACTCAGTCTCAGGTATTTCTTCATAGCAGTATGAAAATGAACTAATATCTACATGTTTTGTTAGATTTATAGCTAAGTATTTTTGGAGGCTGCTAATGTAAATGGTATTTTGGTTTCAGATTCAAATTTTACTTGTTCATTGCTGAGATAGGAAAGCAATAAATGTCCAGCAATCTTGCTATAATTGCTTATTAATTAAGCAGGCAGTCAAGGAAGTAAAAGGAGTAAATTTATTATATTTAAATGCTCAGCATATTGGATGAAGTCCATCCATATTAGGGAGGTCAATTTACTTTATTGAGTTCATAAATTTAAATGGTCCTCTCATTCTATAACATCCTCACAGACATACCCAGGAACAATATTTAATCTAAACACATCTTCACCCAATGAAGTTGACATATAAAATTAATTATTATGGCTGGGTGTGGTGGCTCATGCCTGTAATCCCAGCACTTTGAGAGGCTGAGGCAGGTGGATCACAAGGTCAGGAGTTCGAGACCAGGCTGGCCAATATGGTCAAATCCTGTCTCTACTAAAAATACAAAAATTAGCCAGGCGTGGTGGCAGGTGCCTGTAGTCCCAGCTACTCAGGAGGCTGAGGCAGGAGAATCACTTGAACTTAGGAGGCAGAGATTGCAGTGAGCCGAGATCATGCCACTGCACTCCAGCCTGGGTGACAGAGTGAGACTCTGTCTCAAAAAAAAAAAAAAAATTAGCTATTACTCTGCTGATATGGTTTGGCTGTGTCCTCACCCAAATCTCAATTTGAATTGTAATTCCCATAATCTCCACATATCATGGGAGGGACCAGGTGGAGATAATTGAATCGTAAGGGCAGTTCCCCCATGCTGCTGTTCTCACGATAGTGAGTGATTTCTCATGAGATCTGGTGGTTTTATAAGGAGCTTTTCCCATTTTGCTGGGCACTTCTCCCAGCTGCCACCATATGAAGAAGGATATGTTTGCTTCCCCTTCCTCCATGATTGTAAGTTTTCTGAGGCCTCCCCAGCCATGCTGAACTGTGAGTCAATTAAACCTTTTTCCTTTATGAATTAACCAGTCTTGGGTATGTCTTTATTAGCAGTGTGAGAATGGACTAATACATCTGCCAAAATTCATACAAGAAGAAATAGACAAACTGAATGAACCTGTATTTATTTAAAAAATGGAATCAATAATAACCTCCCAAAACAAAGATCCAGTCTCAGATGAATTCACTGAAAAACCTAGCAAATATTTAAGAAAATTGGCTAGTTCTGGTGGTTCACACCTGTAGTTAATTCCAGGGCTTTAGGGTGATGAGGAGAGAGGATCATATGAAGCCAGGATTTAAGGCAAGCCTTGGCAACATAGTGAGATTCATATATCTATAAAAATATTAAAAGCAATTAGCCATGTATGGTAGCATACACTTGTAGTGCCAACTACTCAGGAGGCTGAAGTGAGAAGATCACTTGAGTGCAAAGTTCAAAGCTGCAATGACCTGTAATTATACCACTGCACTTCAGCCAGGGCAAAAGAGCAAGGCTCTGTCTCTAATTATTTCATTAATTGAAAAATAAAATAAAGAAAAAATTAGCCCAATTCTCTACAATTTCTTTCAGGAGTTGAAAGCAAAGGCAGTATGTCTAACTCATTTTATGAAGCCAACATTGCCCTAATACCAAAACCAGACAAAAACATTACATGAAGAGAAAACTACAGGCCAATATCTTTTGTGAACATAGATGCAAAAATCCTCAACAAAATATTAACAAATAAAATCCAAGAATGCATAAAAATTATACCTCATGATCAAGTAGGGTTTATACCAGGTAAGAAAAGCTGGCTCAACATTTGAAAATCAATTAATGTAATCCATCATATCAACAGGTTAAAAAAAATCACACGATTATATCTATAAATTCTGGAAAAGCATTTGATGAAATTCAAAATTCATTCATGATAAAACTCTGAGCAAACTAGGAATAAAGAAAAAATTCCTTAAGTTGATTAAACACATCTAGAAAAACATATAGCTAAAATCATACTTATGATCAAAAACTAGATGTTTTCTTGCTAATATCAGGAACACCAAAAGATGTCCTCTACCACTGCTCTTTTTCCACCCTGTACTGAAAATACTAGCTAATGCAATAAGAAAGGGAAGTGAAAGGCAAACAGGTTGGGAAGATAGAAAGAAAAATCTTTGTTCAAAGGTGACATAATTTCCTGTGCAGAAAAAAACCACTCTTGTAACCACTCTTGTAATTCTGTAGCCTGAGAACCAGTGGGTACATACTGCCCTTGGATTGGAAGTTACACCATTGGCACTCACTGCTTCTCAGGCTACAGACTTAAGACTTGAAATTAGTCCATTTCATTTGTTATCAAATTTGTGGTAATAACATTGTTCACACTATTTATTATTGTTTTAATAGCCATATGACCGTATTGATATCCCCGCTTTTATTTTTTATTCTATCTTCTCTTGATTTTTTTTTTTTTTTGTAAGCCTGGCTAGAAGCTTATCAATATTATCTAGGTTTTCAAAGAACCAGCCTTTGGTTTCATTGATTTTTCTCTCTCAATTTCCTTATTTTAAATTTTATTGATTAATTCCATATTTTTATTACTTTTTTCTTCTGCTTACTTTGAATTTAACGTGCCCTGTTCTACTTTCTTAAAGTAAAAGATTTCAGATGCTTCTTATTTTCTAATATATGCCTTCAATGTTATAAATTTATCTCTAATCACTGATTTTTTTCTGCTTTCCTCAAATTTTGATAACTTGTGTTTTTATTTCCATTTATTTCAAAATATTTTAATATCTCTTGAGATTTTTTTCTTTGACCCATATGTTACTTAGAAGTGTGCTGTTTAACAAGTATTTTGAGATTTTTAAGCTTTCTTTCAATTATTGATTTCTAGTTTAATTACATTTTGGTCTGAGAGCATACTTTGTGTAATTTTATTATTATAAGTTGAGGTGCATTTTATGGTTCAGCATATGGTCGATCTTGGTGAATGTTTTATGTAAGCTTAAGAAGAATGTGTATTCTATTGTTATTGGATGAAGTAGTCTATAGATGTCAATTATATCCAGTTCATTGATGATCTTGAGTTCACTAATGTCTTTAATGATTTCCTGATGGCAGGATTAGTTCATTTATGATGGAGGGGTGTTGAAGTCCCCATAAAGGATTTATCTATTGTTTCTTACAGTTCTATCAGTTTCTGCCTTACATATTTTGTTGTTGCCTCACATGAGTATTTTGCCTCCCATACTCTGTTGTTACGTACATACAAAATAAAAGTTATTATTGCTTATTAGAAAATTTAGGTTTATATCTATAAGTAATGCCACCTTTATCCCCATTAATTTTATTTGCTGTAAAGTTTGCTCTAACATTATCTATCCAGCTTGCTTTTGATTAGGGTTAGCATGGTATATCTTTCTTCATCTCTTCAGTTTTAATCTATATGTGTCTTTATATTTAATGTGAGTTTTTATAGACAACAAGTAGTTGAGTCTTGTTTTTTGATCCACTTTGAAAATTTTTGTTTTAATTGTTATATTTAGGGTATTAGAATTGAAAGTAATTATTGATATAGTTGGATTAATATATATCATATAGGTCAATGTTTTCTGTGTTGCCCTTGTCATTTATGATGATGTTTGTTTTCTCTTTTTCTCTCTTTTTTGGTTTTAATTGAACTTTTTATACGTTTCCATATGCCCTCCTCTTTTAGAATATCAATTATTCGTGTTTTTTTCCTCCTTTTAGTGGTTGCTCCAGAGTTTGCAGTATATATTTGCTGCTAATAAAAGTCTGCTTTTAAATGACACTATACCACTTCACCACGAGTGCAAGAGGCTTATAAATAACAAAATATTTCTATTTATCTTTCCCTCCTCATTGTATTATTTCTATCACTCATTTCACTTGTAGATAAACTGTAATTATCAAATATGTTACTGCTATCATTATTTTGACCTGTTTTCTGTTAAATCAATTAAGAATAAGAAAAATAAGAATTGGTATTTTAAGTTCACTTATTTCGTCTCTAATGTCCTTACTTTCTTTATGTAGATCTAGAGTTTCTTACCTGCATTATTTTTATTCTCTTTGAGGAACTTCTTTTAACATTTCTTGTAAGTGAGACCTACTGCCAAAAAACTGAGGAAGTCTTTATTGTTGCTTCACATTTAAAGGGTAATTTCACAGGATATGACATTCTAGGTTGGGGATTGTTTTCCCCTCAACACTAATTATTTTACTAATTCCACTCTGATTTGTATAGTTTCTTAGGAAATGTTAGATGTAATTTTTATCATATTCCCTCATACTCTGTAAGTAAGTTCCCCACCATCCAGCTTCTTTTTGTTGTTGCTTTTGTTTTGTGAGTATACAGTGTGTATATATATTTATAGCTTATTTGAGATATTTTGATACGGTCATGCAGTGCATAATAATCACATCAGGATAAATGGGGTATCCATCACCTCAAGTATTTATCCTTTTTGTTACAATCAAATTACACTCTTTTAGCTATTTTATTTTATTTCACTTTTATGTTCTTATTTTTTATTTTTTGGAGGGAATCCATCACCTGAAGCATTTATCCTTTGTATCACAAATAATCCAATTACAGCATTTCAGTTATTTTAAGGTGTACAATTGTATCATTTTTGAATATAGTCATCCTGTGTGCTAGCAAATACTAGGTCTCATTCATCCTTTCTTACTATATTTTATAACCATTAAACATTTCTACTTTTCCACCATCATCCCACTACTCTTCCCGGCCTCTGTGTTCCATCATTCTAGTTTCTATCAATATGAATTTAATTATTTTAATCTTTAGCTCCAAATAAGTGAGAATATGAAAAGTTTGTCTTTCTGTGTCTGACTTATTTCACTTAACATGACCATCAATTCCATCCATGTTGTAGCAAGTGACAGAATTTCACTCTTTTCATGACTGAATAGTACTCCATTGTGTACATGCACCGCATTTTCTTTATGCATTCATCTGTTGATGGACACTTAGGTCGCTTTCAAATCTTGGTTATTGTGAAGAGCACTGCAATAAACATGGGAGTGCACATATCTCTTCAATATACTAATTTCCTTTCTTTTGGGTACATACCTAGCAGTGAGATATCTGGATCACAGTAACTCTATTTTTTATTATTTTGAAGAACCTCCAAACTGTTTCCCAGGTTGGTTGTAATAATTAACATTCCCAGCAACAGCGTATGAGGCTTCCCTTTTCTTCACATCCTTGCCAGCATCCTTTTCTTCACATTCTTGCCTATCTTTTGGATAAAAGCCATTTTAACTGGAGTGAGATAATATCTCATTGTAGTTTGGAGTTGCATTTTTCTGATGATGAATGATGTTGAGAACGTTTTCATATGCCTTTTTGCCATTTATGTGTCTTCATTTGAGAAATGTCTTTTCAGATCTTTTGCCCATTTTTTAAATTGGATTATTACATTTTTTTCTATAAAGTTGTTTCAGCTTCTTAGATATTCTGGTTATTAATCCCTTGTCAGATGGGTAGTTTGCAAATATTTTCTCCCATTCTTTGGGCAGTCTCTTCATTTGTTGATAGTTTCCTTTTCTGTGCAGAAGCTTTGTAACTTGATGTGATCCGATTTGTCCATTTTTGTTTTGGTTGCCTTTGCTTGTGGCAAGGATTCTTTGCCAAGTCCAATGTCCTGGAGAGTTTCCACAATGCTTCTTTTAGTAGTTTCATAGTTTCAGGTCTTAGATTTAAGTGTTTAATACATTTGACTTGACGTTTGTATGTGGTGAGAGATAGGAGTCTAGTTTCATTCTTCTGCATATGAATGTGTACTTTTCCCAGCACCATTTATAGAAGAGACTGTCCTTTCCCCAATGTATGTTCTTGGCACCTTTGTTTAATATGAGTTAACTGTAGATGTGTGGATTTATCTATGGGTTCCCTATTCTATTCCACTGATGTATGTGTCTCTCATCATCAAATACCATGCTTCTTTGGGTACTATAGCCTGTAGTATAATTTCAAGTCAGGTAATGTGATTTCTTTAGTTTTATATTTTTTGCTTAGAATAGTTTTGGTTACTCTGGGTATTCTCTGGTTTCACATACATTTTAGGATGGATTTCTGCTATTATTGTGAAGAATGTCATTCGTGTTTTCACAGGGATTGCATTAAATCTGTAGATTGCTTTGGATAGTGTAAACATTTTTAACAATATCGAATCCTCTGACCTATGAACGTAGAATATCTTTCCATTTTTGTGTGTCTTCTTCAATTTATTTTATCGAGGTTTTATAATTTTCAGTGTAGAGGATTTTCACTTTCGTTATTTCCTGTGTATTTAATTTAACTGGTAGCTATTGTAAATGGAGTTACTTTTCTGATTTCTTTTTCATATTGTTCATTGTTGGCATATAGAATGCTTTTTCTTTGTTGATTTTGTATCCTGAAACTTTACTGTTTATCAGTTTTAATAGTTTTATAGTGGGGTCATTAGTTTTTTTAATTTAAAATCATATCATCTACAAATAAAGATAATGTGATTTCTTCCTTTCCAATTTGGTTGCTCGTCATTTTTTTCTCTTGTATGACTGCTCCAGCTACGATTTGCAGAACTGTGTTGAAAAACAGTGGGGAAAGTAGGCATCCTAGTTGTGTTCCTGATCATAGAGAAAAGGCTTTCACTTTTTTCCTATTTCGTCTGATACTAGCTATGGGTCTGTATTATATGGCTTTCATTCTGTTGAGGTACATCCCTTCTATACTGTGTTTATTGAAGGTTTTTAATCATGAAGGGATGTTAATTTTTTTAAGTGATTTTTCAGTATTAATTGAAATGATCATATGATTTTTGTCTTATATTTTGTTTATATGACGTATCACATTAACTGATTCACATATGTCGAACAATCCTTGCATCCCTGGGATAAATCCCACTTGGTCATGAGAAACGATCTTTTTAATGGGTTGTAAAGTTCGGTTTGCTAGTATTCTATTGAGGAATTTTGCTCAATATTCACCAGTGATATTGTCCTATAGTGTTCTTTTTCAGATGTGTCTTAGTCTGATTTTGGTATCAGGGTAATACTGGCTTTATAGAATGAGTTTGGAAATATTCCCTACTCCTCCAATTTTTTTTTGAAATAGTTTAAGGAGGTTCTTTAAATGTTTGTTAGAATTTAGCAGTGAAGCCATCAAATCCTGGGTAGAAGATTTTCTATTATGGCTTTGATCTGACTACTTTTTTATTGGTCTGTTCAGGTTTTGTATTTCTTCATGATTCAAATTTGGTAGATTGTATGTGTCTAGGAATTTATCTATTTCTTCTAGATTTTCCAATTTATTGGCATATAGTTGTTCATACTAGCCACTAATGATCCTTTGAATTTTGGTGGTATCTGCTGTAATGTCTCCTTTTTCATCTCTAATTTTACTTATTTGGGTCTTTCCTTTTCTTAGTCTGGGTAAAGGTTTGTCAATTTTCTTTATCTTTTCAAAAAGTCAACTTTTTGTTTTATTGTTCTTTTGTATTTTTTTCTTTAATTAATTGATTTCTTCTGCAACATTCATTATTTCTATTTTTCTACTAATTTTGAATTTAGTTTGCTCTTGACTTCCAGTTTTTTATAATACATTACTAGGTTGATTATTTGAAGTTTTTCTTCTTTTATAATGTAGGAATTTGTAGCTATAAACTTTACTCTTAGTACTGCTTTTACTATATCCCATAAGCCTTGGTGTTGTGTTTCTATTAGTTGTTTCAAGAAATTTTTGAATTTCCTTTGTAATTTTTTATTGAATTACTGCTTATTCAGGAACATATTGGTTAATTTCCACGTGTTTGTATGGTTTCAGAAATTCCTCTTGTTATCAATTTCTAGTTTTATTCCATTGGGATCAGAGAAGATGCTTGATATATTTCAAATTTTTGAATATTTTAAGACTTTTTTTGTGACCTAATGTATGGTCCATACTTGTGAAGAAGACCTTTTTGTGTTGAGGATTTCGGAGCATCCTATATCTATATGTCTAAGCCACTTGTGAGATTTGGGAAGATTCCAGCTAGTATTTTGTTACATGGGTTTTCTATGCATTTGACCTTCTTTTTGTTTTCTGGAATACAAAAAAAAAATTAAATATTCAGTCATTCTATGGTGTTTTATATGTCAGAGAGGTTTGGATTATTCTTTATTATTTTTTCTTTTTCTTTATTTTTTTTTCTGATTGGGTTGTTTTAAAATACCCATCTTTTAGTTTTCTAATTATTTCTTCTGCTTTATCGAGTATTTTGTTGGAGCTCTCAAATGTATTTTTTTTTCCTATTGAGTTTATTAGGTCCATGATTTTTAAAATAGTATCTATTTCTTTGGTGAATTTATCATTGATATTCTGAATTGTTTTTCTGATTTCTTTGGTATTGTTTACCTGTGTTCTCTTTATCTCACTAAGTTCTTTAATGTCATATTTTTGAATTCATTTTCTGTCACTTCATAATTTTTATTGGAATCTATTTCTGGAGAATTATTGTGTTTTTTGGAGGAGTCATATTTCAATGCTTTTTCATGTTTCTTGTTTCCTTACATTAATATCTGTTCATCTAATGTAATAATCATTTCTTCTAAGTTTTTAGATTGACTTTTGTGAACGACTTTTTCCTGAAAATACACCTATGGCGAAGGTTGGGTAGAATACTTTAGCTTTGATTCTATATGCATGGAATAGTGCAGCCTCCATATAATTTATCCTGCTATAAGCAGTGTCAGTGGCATCTGTGATTTCTTCATTGGCTTGGTTTGTTTGTTAGTGGAGGCTGTGGCAAGACTTTGCTGGGAATGGGGGCAGCAGGTGAGCCAATCCGGTGATGGCAGTGGTGGGCTAAGTGTGTCTGTCCTTAGGCCCCAGTGCTGTCTGCAGGGGCATTGGTGTTAGTGGGTTTAGGTGGGCCGATTCCTAGGCCTCTAGGCACATTTCTCAGGTGCTGGCAGTTGCAGTAGTGGGCCAAGCAGGTGGGCAGGACCTCAGGCCCGTGGGCAATGTCCTTAACATGAACGATGGTAGTAGCAGTGTCGGGATAACAGTTGGGCTCTCAGGTGGCACACACTAATATTAACAGAGGTTTTGATTAGCTGTTTTGGCCAATCTCCAGGCCCCCAGTTGGAGTGTGTAGGTGTGTGACAGTGTTGGTAGCAGGAGGCTGAATGGACTCCTCCTCATTTTCCTGAGAGGAGTGCATAGATGGTGTTGGACTGGGATGGTGATCCCTAGACCTCTGTCAGTATATTCAGGCACTGGGGATGGTGTTGGTAGGCCAGGCAGTTTGTCCTCAGGACCCCTGGCGGTGCACATGAGCACAGGCTGTGATGAGCAGGGTGGGGCAACCCATAGTAGTGGGTGGAAACAGGCTGACCTCAGTGCAATCTAAGTGCATAGCAGCCATGCTGCTGGAGGGAATGGGGTTGCTGTCAGTGAGGGCAGCCCCAGGCAGGCAAGCAGCTTTCAGGCTCTGAGGAGCATGTACTTCAGCCCTAGAGACAGTGGAGGCAGTGGCAGTGTGTGGGGAGAGCCTGTCTTCAGCGCATGCGTTAGTGTACAGCAGCTGCGCTACTGGTAGAAGAGAGGCTGCTATCAGTGGGAGTGGCCCCAGATAGGTGGGTGGCTTTCAGGCTCTGAAGAGCACATACTTTGGCCCTTGACAGCAGCAGTGGCCATGGCAGTGTGTGTGGACACTGTCCTTAGGAAACTTGCTAGTGTGCAGTCACCTAGATGCTTATGGGGTTGGGGTTGCTCTTAGCAGCCTCAGGCAGGCAAATCTCAGGCTCTGGAGACCACATGCTTTGGCTTCCTTTGTCGTAGGGACAGTCTCCCCAGGGCACTGTACTGCCTTTTTCCCAGGGTGCAGGACTCTGTGTGGGCTAGAGTGCTGGGGACCCTTCTGCACTGTAGGGTCCAGCCAGAATTGTGCCTCTGCAGTCCTCCAGGTGTATGTGGGGGAATGTCTGTGGGGCTCTGAAGATGTGGAGATGCTGGTTCTGCTGGGCCTGAAGGCAAACTATAATCAGGTGGGGACTAGATTCTCAAAATGGGACAGGCATGTAGCTGCTTAAATCTCAAGCGGTGTGTGGGACCAGGTGTAAGTTCCCCATCTGGAGCACTACCATCACATGGACTCCAGGCAGCTCCTTATTTTAGGCTCAGGGCCTGTAAGGGTCAAGGGGCTCTCCAATGGTTAGGGGTTTAGGAATCCATAGTGGAAATATGAACCACTGGGAATCTCTCACTTACTCCTTCCCTGAACTGGAGAGCATCTCCAGGCTCCTGGACAATTCTGGCTGAGCTGTCTGTCTTACTTCCCTCTTCCATCCCTCAGGTGTTTACTGTCACATCTCTGCTGAATTTTAGTGCTCTTTCTTAGATGCTCTATTTAAATTAGGACTATCTTTTCACAATTTTTGTTATTTGTGGAGGAGGTGAGTATCTGATTTCTCTAGTCAGCTATCTTGAACCCTCCCCACAAGCCATATTTTGACATGAAGTAAATGTGTAGTTAAAAATAAAGTCTACATTTATGTTATATTATCAAATTGTACTGACTGTGTACTTATAATGCGTGGATATGTGTTCTTGAGAAAAATTGTAATATCAAGTGTCTGGTGATAGTATCATGTCATAAGAGAAAATACTTTTTAAAGATGATTACCTTGTCATTGAGTTAAATAAGAGGCAGAAATTTTCTCAATTGAACTCCATATGCTTAAATCAGAATTTGAATGTGCTTGAGTATACATTCCTTATCTAGAACACTACAGTGCATTTTCTTATTTCCTCAAATCCATTGCCTTGCCTACATGGTTATGAGTACCTGTTTGAGGGATTTGTATTCTTGGGAGTGGGTAATATTTATGATTACTTAATCACTTTATATAAATATATAAACTTAGGGAGGGAGAGATTCAGTCAGGTGAATCAAGAGTCATGAAGACTAATGGTATCATCGGTTTTATTCCTATTCCTCCTAGTGCTATAATATATGTTCTGTCTACCTGACTTACAAGCTACTGGAGCAGAGCTGGAGTTTGCAATAGGTATAACTGTAATTAAATAGTCAGTCTCAAAGCAACCTGTCAGTAGTTTCAGGATGGAGGGGAATGTTTTGTTGTTGTGGTCACTATCTCTATAAGGTACACCAATTTTATTTTGAATGAAATACTTGAGACAAAGGACCACTGAGAATGATTAATAGCTTGAGAAGAAAATTTTCCTTCTTTGAGTGACCCTGAGTGCTATTATCCTTTCTCAGATCAGCAACAACCCTGCATTGTTTTCACTGAGTACGGGGATGTGACCCACATCAAATGTAATCATGATGATGGCTGATTTTCTCCTGAATAAGTGACAGTAATACTAAATCAGTCATTTTTTCTGACTCATGAACATACAAACAATTTGGGTTTTATTTCCATTTCCTCTGTCTGAAAATGTCAGGCATCAAAATCAGCTTTTATGCTTTAGACCTACATCCGCTCATTGATCATATTTATCTGAAAAATAATGAGCACCGTGTACCTTTATTTATTCCAGTTATTCACTCTGAACAGTTTCCAAGCTGACTTAGAGATATTGAAGTGAAGCTATGAGAAGTTAAATAATTAAAGTGAGAATTTAGACTTTTTTATTTTTCTTGCTCCTTCTCTCAGTAAACACACATTTTTCAATCACTTCTCCCTTCAGGAGGTTATTAATTTCAGGTTCTCCAAATAGTGTGAAGTAGGGATTCAAATTCACGCTTTTGCATGTAGATATCTAGTGGTACCTAAACAATGTGCTCTTTTCCCATGGAATTATTTTGGTGTAGTTGTCAAAAATTGATCATAAATGTAAGAGTTTGTTTCTATACCCTAATTTCTAATTATTGATATATATTTATACCTTCATGCTAGTATTACAAATAAGTGATGACTATAGTTTTATAGTTGACTGTGACTTTTCAATTTGTTTTTTCTTTTTCAAGATTGTTTTGGCTGTTATGGGTGTCTTGAATTTTCATATAAATTTTAGGAGCATCTGACAATTTCTGCAAAAAAAAGCAAGATGTGATTTTGATTGGATTTGTATTTAATCTATAGACCAACTTGGGCAATATTATGGTAACGATATTGTTTTCTGTTCTATAAACATAGTATGACTTTTACTTCTTTTATACTTTTCAGTACTAAAGTGTTGTGCTTCTTTCACTAAGTTTTTAGTTGGACATAGAGAGTAGAAGTATGGTTATCAGAAGAATTTTATTCTTTTGATGCTGTTGTAAAGTAAGTCATTTCCTTAATTTTATTTTCTAATTACTCAATCAAAATATTTCTAATTACTCAATCAAAACAGAAATACAATTGATATTTGTATATTGATCCTGTGTTCTGACAAAGATTGTGAACTTTCTTATTATTTCTAATAGATATTTAGTATATTCCTTGGGATCTTCTCTACATAAGATGCTATTATTCGAAAATAAAATTGTTTTAAGTCTTCATTTTCAATCTAAATGGTATTTACTTATTTATTATTTATTTATTTCCCAAACTGGCCTTGCTAGAACCTAAAATCCAATGTTGAATAAAAGTCACAAATGTGGACACATTTATGTTTCTTCTTCTGGATATGAGGTATCATCTGTTATTATTTATATCCTTAATACAATCCATCTTTGTTCCTACCTTTCTTCTTGTATTAATATTGTTACATAAATTATATTTCCACGTATTATAGGTTCAATAAGTAAATTATATATTGTTTTATGTAGTTGCTCTTCAAATAAGAGAAGAAAGAAGATTATACAACTATACCATTTTCTCTAATTAATTACGTAATTATTTTTTACCAGTGCCTTTTGTATGAAGATTCAAATTACTCTATAATTATCAGTTCTTCACCCTAAATAACTTTCTTTACTATTTCTCATAAGATAGGTGTGCTAGAAATGAATTATGTCAATTTTTCCATGACAGATAAAGGCCTTATTTTGCCAAAACATTCCTGATTGATTGGTTGACAGTTTTTGTTTTGTTTAGTTTTGTTTTACTTTTAGCACATTGAATATATTGTCACAATGCCTCTAGCTTCTATTATTTCTGATGGAAAGTCAGATACTGTTCTTATATTCTACATGATGTATTATTTTTCTCTTGTTGACTTCAATAATTACTCTTTGTCTGTCAATATTTTTATAATGAGTTTTCTGAGTGTGGATGTTCTCATATTTATCCTACCTGGAATTTGTTGAGATTTGTAAATGTCTAAATTAATATTTTTCATGCAATTTTGAAATGTTTCAGTCATTATTTTCTCAAACATTTTTCTGTCTCTTGTTCCCTCTTCTCTTCTTCTAGTACATTCATTATGTATACCTTAGTATGCTTAATGCCCCACCATATTTCTCTGACACTGCCATTTTTCATCATTTTTCCTCTCTGTTTTTCAGAATACTGATCTCTAACAATCTATCTTCAAGTTCACTGATTGATTCTCATGACAGCTCAAATCTATTAAACTTTCTAGTTCTTTTTTTTTTCATTTTGGTTGTTATATTTTTCACCTTTAATATTTCAACTAAATCCTTTTTAATTATTTCCATTTTTGATATATTTTATCTGGTGAAATACTATCAACATACATTCCTTCAAAATTTTAACTTTTTTTTTCTTTAGCTTTGTGGGCATAGTTATAATAGCTTCTTTGAAAATATTTTCTGATAAGTTGCCATGTTTCTATCCCTCAAAGTCTATTTCTTTTGCATGGCTTTTTCCCTATGTATCAGTCTCATTTTCCTGTTTATTGAAACATTTTTTTGGTTGAAATAAGGACATTTTAGAGAACACAGTTTATCTAGAATTGTTACAACTGATTATCTAAAATGTCTAATTTGTAATAAAAATTGGAATTTCAAAGCAACAGGAAAGGTAACGGGATTACTGTAATATTTTTGTATGTTTTTGTTTTGTTGTTTGTTTAATGACTTGGCTTAGTTAATTCTGAAAAATATATTTTCTTCACAGTAAGAAGAATCTGATGTTCCTACTAATATTTTCTCCATTTTTATCTTTTAGCATGGTTACCTAGTGTTACCACTAGGTCAGCTTATACCACTTATTAGTAAAAGGTTGTGCTCTTAGCCTGCTAGATTTTTAATTTTTGCCTTTAGCTGTGTGTGTGTGTGTGTGTGTGTGTGTGTGTGTGTGTGTGCATGCGCATGTGCATGTGGCTTAAAAGTCTCTATCACAATTCATGAAGATTATGTTACGTATGTTTACCTCATATTCATTCAGAGACTAGTAGCTTGAGGTTTCCTTCTCTGATAGCTCCTGAGTAGATATTTTCTTTGCCAGGATTACCATGATATTGCTTTTAAGTCTGGCATCCAAAGAGTCTTTCATGGGTCAAAGTAGCTTTTGGTTTAGTGCTTTGACAGAGATTGTTTTAAAGCCTGTCATGTCAATGTGGATTCTATCATGGGTTTTTTGAGTATGTGTGTAGCTTGGGGAATAATTTCAATTCTGCACCACAACTTGCTTTGGCTGCTGCTCAGTAGGTGCTCAGGGTCAACACTCAGAATTGACCCTGATATCAGGAGGGCTCTTTTGGGGTGTCTTTTTTCCTGGTTCTCTTCACTGAATCTCTGACTGCTTTGACATTTTGCCTTCTCAAGAAGCTATCACCCTCCTTTTAAATGTTCTTTACCAAGACTTTTATTGTTTACTACCATGTCCCTAAGCATATAGTTCTCCACTCTCTGTTTCAAATAAAATTAGTCTCCTCAGGCATAGATGCTGTGCTATTATCCCTTACATCCTTCCTTTCCACCTCAGCAGAACCCCTGCAACAACTGTCTTAAAGTTGGGATGGGGGTCTGCTTTACCTGGGGTCGTATCCACAGTGTACAAATGAGCACTCTGTGGGAGGATTTCCCCTGGTCTTTTAGGTTGTCCCTCCTGTTGTGGAACCTCCACCCTACTAACAGTGTTAGGAGCAATTGTGTATACCTCTCTAAGTCTAATTCTATTCCAAATAATGATTTAAAATGTATAATATGAAGCATTTTCAATTTTTGAAATTGGACTAAACTTTAAGGCAAGTGTAACTGGTACCTTTACTCTAATGGAGGCTTCTCAACTAATTTGAAAACATTGCCCTGCATACTGTAGTCCAGTGCTATCAGCCTAACAGAAGATTTCCTTTTTTTCTGTATTTCTTCTAAAACAACAACAACAACAAAACACAAAAAGGATACATGTGCAGAACGTGGAGGGTTGTTACATATGTATGTGTTTGCCATGGTAGTTTGCTGCATCTATTGACCCATCCTCCGCGTTCCCTCTCCTCACTCCCCCAGCAGAAGATATCTACTTTCCAGTGAGGAATAAGAAATTTAAAAATGAGATGGGTTAAGATGCAAACTTTTTATGTTATCAATCAAAATGTGCATATTTTCATTTTCATATTTTGTGCTTATAAAAAGGTGATTTTATTATTTCTCAAAAAGATAAAAATAATGTTTATAAAATCAGTAGTTCATCATTACCAATATGGTCCTAAAATTGAAAAAAAAATTAAAAAGTCTTTTAAGTGTCTTTAGTACGCTGTGAAACACCAAAGAGATTTTCAGATAGGTTCACAAACAACTAAAAATTCTGTATCAATCTGCATATCAAAGAATTAAAACAAATTTTGTTAGTTGAAAACCAAGTACAGAAAGAGAATGTTTCTGTGTGTTCTTACTCAATCTGCAGATATGACTCACTAAAATATAAAATATATAATTATGTTGACTAAAATTATGAATATCATAAATTATTTCTTGCAAAAAAGTGAGGAATAAATAAGTAAGAAAGCCATGTGCAATTGATGTCTGTAGCTTAGTCCTGATACAACTGTTTAAGTAGAGACTTCACATTTTTGCTGTAAAAGTAAATATATTTTTTCTTACACCTGCCCTGCTATGGTGTTGGTTAGAATTAGCAGGAGTTTTTGAAGTGTGATGCAGAGCATTAACTTGATTTGGCAAGTTTGCATGTGAATAAGTATTTAGGAAGACCTGACAATTGGAGAGAAGTGGGAAAGACAAATTGTTCACAGAATTGAAGAAACCAGGCATAGATACTCTTTTAATAAAAAGATAAACATTTGGAGAAATGTTGTGGCTTTAGTTAACAGTTTGCTAATGTTGAGGTTTAAATTTCTAGAACCGCTCTTGGGCAATAAGTATCTCATTAATACAAAGTACAAAGTGTCAAACTCATATTGCTTTTATAATAGTGGTGGAATGGATCAAGAACACAGAGTAAATAGTTTGCAATGTGCTAAAAAAAAGAAACCGAAGCCTACGTCTTAAGTTATGGCAAGGCAATCAAATGTTTGATGGTGCTTTTCTTTATACTGAGGCAAGAAAACTGGGTAAAGTCTTTCATTGGCCTGCTATAAAATGACATTTCAGCTAGCAATTTGTTCAGTGTAGGCACAATTATATCCTCTCTCCATTATTAGTAACCTTAGGGAGTGTTTAAAGGATAAGTGTCTCTCATTCCTTTCAGAGTAGAAAGAAAAAAAAAAGAGCCAGTTCGTGTGCTTTCTTGAGAAAAGCCTAAGAGTAAATGCATTCAGGAAAACACAACTCATTACAGAAGAAATGTTCCAAGCTAATGTCACTATCTTGATGAAATAATGAAAAGTAGAGAATAAACTCAGATGACCATTAATGGCCCACATCTAAGGTAAGTAAAAGATCATATTCTAGTTGTCTGGATCTTTTTTTGGAGATGGAGTCTCACTCTGTCACCCAGGCTGGAGTGTAGTGGTGCAGTGTTGGCTCACTACAACCTCTGCCTCCCGGGTTCAAACAATTCTCCTGCCTCAGCCTCCTGAGTAGCTGGGACTACAGGCATATGTCGCCATGCCTGGCTAATGTTTTATATTTTAGTAGAGACAGGGTTTCACCATGTTGCCCAGGTTGGTCTTGAACTCCTGAGCTCAGGTAATTCACCTGCCTCAGCCTCCCAAAGTGCTAGGATTACAGGCGTGAGCCACCACTCCCAGTCTGTCTGGATCTTTTTTCTTCTCTAAACATACCACTTGTTTCCCAGTTCCAAACCTTTATGCCATTTTTTATACCTGACTTAAAAACTTTTCTGGGTGGCTTGCAAGATGGCTGAATAGGAACAGCTTCGGTCTGCAGCTCCCAGCAAGATCAATGCAGAAGGCAGGTGATTTCCACATTTCCAACTGAGGTACCTGGCTCATCTGATTGGGACTGGTTAAAAGTGGGTGCAGCCCATGGAGGACGAGCCAAAGCAGGGTGGGGCAGCGCCTCACCCAGGAAGCACAAGGGGTCAGGGGACTCCATCCTCTAGTCAAGGAAAGCTGTGAGGGACTGTGCCATGAGGAACAGTGCACTCCAGCCCAGATACTATGCTTTTCCCATGGTCTTTGCAAGCCACAGACCAGGAGATTCCCTCGGGTGCCTATGCCACCAGGGCCCTGGGTTTCAAGCACAAAACTGGGTGACCATTTAGGCAGACACCGAGCTAGCTGCAGGAGTATTTTTTCTTACTCCAGTGGCACCTGGAATGCCTGCAAGACAGAATTGTTCACTCCCTTTGAAAGGGGGCTGAAGCCAAGAAAACAAGTGGTCTAGCTCAGTGGATCCCACCCCCTAGAGCCCAGAAAGCTAAGATCCACTGGCTTGAAGTTCTTGCTGCCAGCACAGCAGTCTGAAGTCAACCTGGGATACTTGAGCTTGGAGGGGGAAGGGGCGTCTGCCATTACTGTGGCTTGAGTAGGTGGTTTACCTCTCACAGTCGAAACAAAGCCACCAGGAAGTTTGAACTAGGTGGAGGCCTCACAGCTCAGCAACGCTGCTGTAGCCAGACTGCCTCTCTAGGTTCCTCCTGTCTGGGCAGAGCATCTCTGAAAGAAAGGTAGCAGCCCCAGTCAGGGGCTTATAGATAAAACTCCCGTCTTTCTGGGACAGAGCACCTGGGGTAAGGGGCGGCTGTGGGCACAATTTCAGCACACTTAAATGTTCCTGCCTGCTGACTCTGAAGAGAGCAGTGGATCTCACAGCACAGTGCTCAAGCTCTGCTAAGGGACAGACTGCCTCCTAAAGCGGGTCGCTGACCACTGTGCCTCCTGACTGGAAGAACACCTCCCAGCAGGGATCAACAGACATCTCATACAGGAGAGCTCTGGCTGGCATCTGGCAGGTGCCATTCTGGGATGAAGCTTCCAGAGGAAGGAACAGGCAGCAATCTTTGCTCTTCTGCAGCCTCCACTAGTGATACCCAGGGAAATAGGGTCTGGAGTGGACCTCCAGCAAACTCCAGCAGACCTGCAGCAGAGGGGCCTGACTGTTAGAAGGAAAACTAACAAACAGAAAGGAATAGCATCGACATCAACACAAAGGACTTCTACACAGAAACCACATCAGAAGGTCACCAACATCAAAGACTAAAGGTAGGTAAATCCATGAAGATGAGGAAAAACCTGCACAAAAAGGCTGAAAATTCCAAAAACAGGAACACCTCTTCTCCTCCAAAGGATCACAACTCCTCTCCAGCAAGGGAACAAAACTGGACGGAGAATGAGTTCGACAAATTGACAGAAGTAGGTTTCAGAAGGTGTGTAATAAACTTCTCTGAGCTAAAGGAGCATGTTCTAACCCAATACAAAGAAGCAAAGAACCTTGGAAAAAGGTTAGAGGAATAGCTATCTAGAATAACCAGTATAGAGAAGAACATAAATGACCTGATGGAGCTGAAAAACACAGCATGAGAACTTCGTGAAGGATACACAAGTATCAATAGCCAAATCAACCAAGCAGAAGAAACGATATGAGAGATTGAAGATCAACTCAATGAAATAAAGCATGAAGACAAGATTAGACAAAAAAGAATGAAAAGGAACGAACAAAGCCTCCAAGAAACATGGGACTGTGTGAAAAGACCAAACCTATGTTTGATTGGTGTACCTGAAAGTGACAGGGAGAATGGAACCAAGTTGGAAAACACTCTTTAGGATATTATCCAGGAGAATTCCCCAACCTAGCAAGACAGGCCAACATTCCAATTCAGGAAATACAGAGAACACCACAAAGATACTCCTCGAGAAAAGCAACTATAAGACACATAATCATCAGATTCACCAAGGTTGAAATGAAGGAAAAAATGTTAAGGGCAGCCAGAGAGAAAGGTCAGGTTACCCACAAAGGGAAGCCCATCAGGCTAACAGTGGAACTCTCTGAAGAAAGCCTACAAGGCAGAAGAGAGTGGGGACCAATATTCAACATTCTTAAAGAAAGAGTTTTCAACCCAGAATTTCATTTCCAGCCAAACTAAGCTTAATAAGTGAAGGAGAAATAAAACCTTTTACAGACAAGCAAAGGCTGAGAGATTTTGTCACCATCAGGCCTGCCTTGAAAGAGCTCCTGAAAGAAGCACTAAATATGAAAAGGAAAAACTGGTACCAGCCACTGCAAAAACATACCAAATTGTAAAGACCATTGACACTATGAAGAAACTGCATCAACTAATGGGCAAAATAACCAGCTAGCATCATAATGACAGGATCAAATTCACACATAACAATATTAACCTTAAATATAAAAGGGATAAATGCCCCAATTAAAAGACACAGACTGGCAAAGTGGATAAAGAGTCAAGACCCCTAGGTGTGCTGTATTCAGGAGACCCATTTCATGTGCAAAGACACACATAGGTACAACATAAAGGGATGGAGTAACATTTACCAAGCAAATGGAAAGCAAAAAAAAAAAAAAAAAAAACAGGGGTTGCAATCCTAGTCCCTGATCAAACAGGCTTTAAATCAATGAAGATCCAAACAGAAAAAGAAGGGCATTACATAATGGTAAAGGGATCAATGCAACAAGAAGAGCTAACTATCCTATATATGCACCCAATACAGGAGCACCCAGATTCATAAAGCAAGTTCTTAGAGGCCTACAAAGAGACTTAGACTCCCACACAATAATAGTGGGAGACTTTAACACCCCACTGTCAATATTAGACAGATCAATGAGACAGAAAATTAACAAGCATATTCAGGACTTGAAATCAGCTCTGGACCAAGCAGACCTAATAGACATCTACAGAACTCTTCACCCAAAATCAACAGAATATACATCCTTCTCAGCACAACATCACATTTATTCTAAAATTGACCAATAATTGGAAGTAAAACACTCCTCAGCAAATGCAAAAGAACGGAAATCATAGCAAACAGTCTCTCAGACCACAGTGCAATCAAATTAGAACTCAGGATTAAGAAACTCACTCAAAACCACACAGCTACATGGAAACTGAACAACCTGCTCCTGAATGACTACTGGGTAAATGACAAAATTAAGGCAGAAATAAATAAGTTCTTTGAAACCAATGAGAACTAAGACACAATGTACCAGAATCTCTGGGACACAGCTAAAGCAGTGTGTAGAGGGAAATTTATAGCACTAAATGGCCACAGGAGAAAGCAGGAAAAATCTAAAATCAACACCCTAACATCACAATTAAAAGAACTAGAGGAGCAAGAGCAAACAAATTCAAAAGCTGGTAGAAGAGAAGAAATAACTAAAATCAGAGCAGAACTGAAGGGCATAGAGACACAAAAAATATTTTTAAAAAATCAATGAATCCAGGAGCTGTTTTTTTGGAAAGATTAACAAACTAGATAGACTGCTAGCCAGACTAATAAAGAAGAAAAGAGAGAAGAATCAAATAGACACAATAAAACATGATAAAGGGGATATCACCACTGATCCCACAGAAATACAAATAACCATCAGAGAATGCTATAAACACCTCTATGCAAATAAAACTAGAGAATCTAGAAGAAATGGATAAGTTCCTGAACACGTACACCCTCCCAAGGCTAAACCAGAAAGAAGTTGAATCCCTGAATAGACCAATGACAAGTTCTGAAATTGAGGCAGTAATTAATAGCCTACCAACCAAATAAAGCCCAGGACCAGATGGATGCACAGCCAAATTCTACCAGAGGTACAAAGAGGAGCTGGTGCCATCCCTTCTGAAACCATTCCAAACAATAGAAAAATAGGGACTCCTCCCTAACTCATTTTATGAGGCCAACATCATCCTAATAAAAAAACCTGGCTGAGACAAAACAAAAGAAAATTTCAGGCCAATATCCCTGATGAACATCAACGTGAAAATCCTCATTAAAATCCTGCAAACCAAATCCAGCAGCACATCAACAAGCTTATCCACTATGATCAAGTTGGCTTCATCTCTGGGACGCAAGGCTGGTTCAACATATGCAAATCAATAAGTGTAATCCATCACATAAACAGAACCACATGATTATCTCAATACATGCAGAAATGTATGTACTTCTGCATGTATTGACATGCAGAAAATGACAAAAACCACATGATTATCTCAATACATGCAGAAAAGGCCGTCAATACAATTCAACACCCCTTCATGCTAAAAATCCTCAATAAACTAGGTATTGATGGAACGTATCTCAAAATAATAAGAGGTATTTATGACAAACCCACAACAAATATCATACTGAATGGGCAAACTGGAAGCATTCCCTTTGAAAACTGGCACAAGACAAGGATGCCCTCTCTCACCACTCCTATTTAACATAGTATTGGAAGTTCTGGCCAGGGCAATCAGGCAAGAGAAAGAAATAAAGGGTATTCAAATAGGAAGAGAGGAAGTGAAATTTGCCTCGGTTTGCAGATGACATGATTGTATATTTAGAAAACCCCATCGCCTCAACTTTGCTGAAGTGGCTTATCAGGTTAAGCCACTTCAGCAAAGTCTCATATACAAAATCAGTGTGCAGAAATCACAAGCATTCCTATACACCAATAATAGACAGAGAGCCAAATCATGAGTGAACTCCCATTCACAATTGCTACAAAGAGAATAAAATACCTAGAAATACAACTTACAAGGGATGTGAAGGACCTCTTAAAGCAGAACTACAAACCACTGTTCAAGGAAATAAGAGAGAACACAAACAAATGGAAAAACATTCCATGCTCATGGGTAGGAAGAATCAATATTGTGAAAATGGCCATACTGCCCAAAGTAATTTATAGATTCAATGCTATCCTCATCAAGCTACCCTTGACTTTCTTCACAGAATTGGAAAAAACTACCTTACATTTTATATGGAACCAAAAAGGAGCCCAATTGCCAAGACTATCCTAAGCAAAAGGAGCAAAGCTGGAGGCATCATGCTACCTGACTTCAAACTATGCTACAAGGCTGCAGTAACCAAAACAACATGGTACTGGTACCATAACAGATATATAGACCAATGGAACAGAACAGAGGCCTCGAAATAACCCCACACATCTACAACCATCTGATCTTTGACAAACCTGACAAAAGTAATGGGGAAAGGATTCCCTATTTAATAAATGGTGTTGGGAAAACTGGCTAGCCTTATGCAGAAAACTAAAACTGGACCCATTCCTTACACCTTACAGAAATTAACTCAAGATGGATTAAAGACTTAAATGTAAGACCTAAAACTATAAAAACCCTAGAAGAAAACCTAGGCAATACCATTCAGGACATAGGCGTGGCCAAGACTTCATAACTAAAACACCAAAAGCAATGGCAGCAAAAGCCAAAGTTGACAAATGAGATCTAATTGAACTAAAGAGCTTCTGCACAGTAAAAGAAACTATTATCAGAGTGAGCAGGCAACGTACAGAATGGGAGAACATTTTTGCAATCTATCCATCTGAAAAAGGGCTAATATCCAGAATCTACAAATAACTTAAACAAATTTAAAGGAAAAAAAAATCAAAAAGTGGGCAAAGGATATGAACAGACACTTCTCAAAAGAAGACATTTATGCAGCTAACAAACATATCTAAAAAAGCTCATCATCACTGATCATTAGAGAAATGCAAGTCAAAACCACAATAAGATACCATCTCACACCAGTTAGAATAGTGATCATTAAAAAGTCAGGAAACAACAGATGGTGGAGAGGATGTGGAGAAATAGGAATGCTTTTACACTGTTGGTGGGAGTGTAAATTAGTTCAACCATTGTGGAATACAGTGTGGTGATTCCTCAAGGATCTAGAACCAGAAATACTATTTGACCCAGTATTCCCATTACTGGGTATATACCCAAAGGATTATAAATCGTTCTACTATAAAGACACATGCACACATGTGTTTATTGCAGCACTCTTCACAATAGCAAAGACTTGGAACCAACCCAAATGCCCATCAGTGCTAGACTGGATAAAGAAAATGTGGCACATGTACACCATGGAATACTATGCAGCCACAAAAAAGGATGAGTTCATGTCCTTTGCAGGGACATGGATGGAGCTGGAAACCATGATTCTCAGCAAACTAACACAAGAACAGAAAATCAAACACCGCATGTTCTCACTCATAGGTTGGAGTTGAACAATGAGAACACATGGACACAGGGAGGGGAATATCACATACCAGGGCATGTTGGGGGGTTGGGGCTAGGGGAGGGATAGCATTAGGAGAAACACCTAATGTAGATGACGAGTTGGTGGGTGTAACAAATCCCCATGGCACATGTATACCTATGTAACAAACCTGCACATTCTGCACATGTATCTGGAAACTTAAAGTATAATAAAAAAAGAGAACAAAAAAATCTTTTCAATATTATTGTGCATTAATTTATTCATATGTGAATGTATTCACTTCCTAAATATTTATTATTCATGTAACATAGGTTGGAATTTATATAAAATCTTGTGAATATAGACTGTATCAACTCTCTAAATATCTTCTTTTACAGGATTGATGCAAATCTCATTTCCTTCAATAAATTACTGATTGACTTTATAAGAATTAATCTCTCTCTCACTAATATCCCCTCATGTTTGTATAAATTTTTATTTTGGTATATGGAATGGGCAAGGGGTGTTTCAACATTTATACTTCCTTTATCATCTATCAAAGTTATTTGTTCTGCTAGGTATTTAATAAGTATACTCATTAAACAATATTAAGAAATCAAAGAAAAACCTTAGAACTGCACTAAAGTTGAGGGAATCTTATGTTTCATGTTGCAGCCTACATTTCCAGATAGCTCAGTACTCCTCAAAGGTATGTACTTTATAAAGTGTTTACCTTATTCAGACATTTTTATTACCCCTTAATGGTGGCCTTTTAATCTCAGGATATAAACATGGCTGCTTATTAGTTGAAATAGTAACTTCCTTACCATAAGATATTATTTGGATTTAAATTAGATAGCTTATTATTGAGAACAAATGCAACTTTCACTAATATAATTATTTTTGAAATTTTTATGAATGAATAACTATATAACTGGTTATCAACCTTGACTTCAAATAAGAATCGTTTAGAACAGCTTTTATTTAAAAAATAAAATACCTAAGCCCTATCAAAAGTATAAACCCATCTTACTATTGTCAGAACATTTATTTGAGGCACAGTGAGCGAAATGTAATGGGTAAAAATAGAACATTTAATGAATATTGTTTTTGCCTACCCCAAATTCCCTTTCCCCTTCATGTGGTGGTAGCATCTGTTTTTGTTTGTTTGTTTTTGTTTTTGTTTTTGAGGAACTGTCTTAATACACATTGTTGTGATTGAGTTACTCCTCCTTTCTTTATTCCTGTAAGCCCTAGGCATGATCCAGGAACACTGCTGTGGCCAGACATAGCACTATATTTTTTCATTTACAGTGATTGGTTGAGAAATGTGCACAGAAACTAAGCATAATCAATCAGAGTCTCTTCTCTGAGACTTTTTTTTTTTGTTATAGCACATTGAAATAATACAGTCTTTGGTTTCAGGGACTGATCGACTATAGTACAATCCAAATGTTGGGGGAAAGTCTAAAAAAAGAGTAGAAATTTAAAAATAGAGAAAAAATAGTAGAAAAAAATTCCAACGTATAGGGAGAATTTTCCTGAAAATAATATCAACACAGAGGAGAGGAAAACCAAGAAATAGACAAAAGGAGATTACTATCAACTACATGCGATCTCTTGGGTCCAGTCATTCATGAAGGCAGGCACAGTGTGTGCAAGATATCTTCAATTTTCCCCTTTAGATGCCTACCCATCCCTTTTTCACTTTATTTCATGCCTTAGTAGAATGACCCGTATGCACTACATTGAAGTGTTTCCTTGCTTTCTGACTTCCTTTGAGTTTGGCTATTAGGATCCACAACAAGAAATTGAAAGGCAGGATGAAATTGAGGCCATTCCTCCCAATTCATTAACTGCTAGGTTGCTATCTGTACATTCACTTCATCCTTCTACAAAAGACCACAATTTATGTCAAAAGATCCCCCCACACGTACCCACAATATCTCCCAGTAACTAGCCACTCCTAGTGGTAATAATTGCTTCCTGATGTTGTTATCTTGTATTACATTGTACTATATCCCTGCTCTTATTTCTGTAAATAGGTTCTTTATGAAGCTGCTCTAGAATTAAAAACAATACCAAAAAAAAAAAACCAGTATTTTTTTGGAAAATACTTTAGAGCTTTAGTCCAATATAGTAATAGTAAGCCTTAATTGTAGTGACATTGCTACAGAAAGATATCCTATTAACTGCTAAGCCCTTTTTCTGATTATTTCTTGGGCTGTCTTATAGAAAGTAAGATAATGTATGTTAATAGTCAAAGAAAAAGGGATGACATTCACCAAGAAAAACAAATGAATTATCAGTATTCATATGTATTACTCCAATGTTTTGTTCCATGTTTGAATAAGAAAGAACAAAACTGGCTAAATGTGGGTAGTCATTGATAGATACAATAAGAGTCCTACATTCCCAGTAATTCTTGGCATGATTTAAATCAGGGTCAATAGCGTGATATCTCTTACACTGACTTTCTTGACCCCAAAAAAATTGACTAGTAATTTGGGAAGGAGTCCTGCAAATAATGACCAATCCTCCAAGAAATGTATGTGTGATAGCAGAAGCACTTTTCCTTCAGTGTGACTAGGCTTGCCATTTAAATCAAATCTATTTTCATAAAATTGTGTAACTTCATATGTTTCGGCTAATATGGTAAGAATAAACTGCTATTTGCTTGTCAATGAGAAGAGAAAGAGGATTTATTAACCAGCTACTTTGAAAATCTAAGACTAAGGAATTGACTGTGCTGTAGTTTAAACATTATCTCTCATATTTTATAAACCAATATAAAATTTTCTTTACTTGATTGCTTATGTATAGAAAGGGTTCTCAAAACTTCTTATTGTGTTGGTATCAAAATTAAGACAATTATGAGATTTTTTTGAGACATTAATTAGAAATATTTCTTTTAAAATTTTACATATGAATCCAAAGTTTTGGGAGGTGTTTAGATATCTGCATATAAAAATAACTATTTAGGGACTCACATTATTTATATTTTTGTGTGTTGAAGTCACTGTCACTCCTCTTCTCCAAACTTTTGTATACATTTCAATTCCAAAACTCTGTTTATGATCAACATATTGTGCAAAGATTAACAACTAATGGGTCAAATATCATTTGCACTTTTCTCGTTGCATTGAAAATAAAATGTCCATCCCACCTCCACCATTTATTTTCCCATGTCTGGACAATTTTAAAGCAAATTCAAGGCTATGATGGTACATATAATTTCAACCATAAATTTTCAGTATATTTCTAATATATAAAGATTTTTATGAACAAAGCCATATAATATGCTCCACATTAATAATAATTTTTCAGACCTCAATAATGTTCAATTTCCTCTATTATTACAAATCATTTTATTGCTGTTGTTTTCTTCTAATCAGGATCTGAGTGAGTTCCACACATTGCAAACAAATTTGTTACTTGTCAAATTGTCTTAAAGAAAACCACAGTCTTTAAAGAATGCTATAAACAAAATGTTTGAGTTTTAGACTTCACAACATAATTTTTGGCTGCTCAAAGACTGATTTCATGTTGTTTTGTTTGTTGTGCTTATTTCTTGTTTTTGAATTTTCATTTTTTGTTCCAGTTAGGTAGTTTTGCCAAGTAGCTGTGTTCTAAATCACTGAACAATCACTTTAACTCAATAAAAAATATTCTACACATTTGAAGAGAAAAGTTTATTTGGGATATATATATTTATACATCTGTGGGAGGGTTATGTGTAAAATTTTAGAAAATTTTAACTGTTTTCTCATTTCTCAACATGACTGAAAGTTCTGTTAAGTGAAAAAATTCAAATATTTTCAGAATAACTAAAATTACAGTAGCTCACAAACAGTATTTAATAAATAATTGTAGCGTAGGCTTCTGATGCATGAATTTTTAGTCTTCTATAAAAATCACAACAATCTTATGTATCTCAAAAGATTAAAATCAAGTTCTTTCAGCAAGATGGTATAAAACACACATTTGCATGGAAGAGGGAATGGAAAAGTCTATCCTACAGAAAAAGGGTAGTACTTATTACGGACACTATATTTGTGTCCCTTCAAATGTATATGTTGAACTTTTAATCCCCAATGTGATGTTATTAGAAGGTAGAGCCTTTGGGAGGTAATTAGGTCATAATTGTGAAGCCTTAATAAATGAAATTAGTACCCTTATAAGAAGAAATATGAGAGATATGATTTTCCTTTTGGCCATGTGAGGGTATAAGAAGACAGCCATCTGCAAATCAGGAAGAGTGCTATCACCAGATACCAGATATGCCAACATCATGATCTTGAACTTCCTCATTTTCAGACTCACGAGAAATAAACGTCTGTTGTTTAAACTACCCATTCTACAGTATTCTGTTACAGCAATCTGAACTGACTGAGGTTGTACTTATCCTAGACTTCTCTCTCTATGGATTCTTAGAGCCCATAAAATGACTCCACTCATTCATAAAACTGTAAACTATGATATGTTGTTGAACCTGAAGTCTAGATAAGTAAGGCCTGAGTAAATGAGAATGAATTGTGTAGAATAATATAGCTTGAGGACTTTACCTTGTGTTGCAATTTGAAAAAAAATTTTTTGCAGATAATTATTGGCATGAAGCTGAATTTGAAAGCAGGCAACTAAAAGGAGGACTGCAATGTTGGAAAAAAACACACCTCAACTTGAGATATATGCTCTTTTTTATGATAATGACTTTGACTTTGTGACTCTTTTCTACAGTAGAAACATTTCCTTAGAAGTAATTTAAATGAATACAGCATCCCAAGTAAAGGCTATATAGAAGAGAATGTATAAAGAGAAACAATGAAAGAAAAATCTTATAAAAAGCAAGTTTTTTCTAATAAACACTGAATACTTACTATGTCCACAGTCTCTGTTTAATAAAATAAGTGTTTGGAAACTTAAAAAATATATATTAGTATATGAAGATTATGTATGTAGACATTAATAATGCAACAGGTCTTCCAAATGCAGGAAAAGTAATAAAACAATTTTTACGGGGAAGAAAAGACAATACATACTTTGCAAACTACTTATGCAAATCTGAATAATGCCTTGTACACACACAAACCTACAAAAATGATAGATATTAATTCCACATGATGAGGAGATGAATATTGAATAGTTTAATGTACACTGTTGTTTGTTATAATAAATATGAGAGAAAATATATGATGAAATTTAGCTTTTCCACTACATACAAGATGAAGATACTCAAGAAAACATTGGTCACTATCATTTTAATGGTGATACAAATGTATTTTTCAACCAACTGCTTGTTTTTACCTCAATGTTTATCTTCAGGAAGAGCTACAGGTTTTATTTCTGACCTGCAGCACAATTATAATTGAAATCGGTCTCAAACTGCACTTTTGTCCAATTATCTGATATTGTGTTTGTGTGTTGGTGAGTGTTGTGTATTTTTGTGTTTATTTCTAAACACTTCTACTTCATCTATATACGTTAGCAAACCGATTAGTAAACTACATCTCCTTGGTACCCTAATGACACATTAGAAAATTCTCTGAAAAAAAGTAAAGTATAAAAAAAAAGATAGTTCCTAGTTTTAACAAATTGGACTGTAATATGTCTTACAATAATAAAAATATTTTAGAATCTATATCTACTGAATACTTACTATATCCTAGAGACCAGCCTAATTATTCAAAGCCATCCCCAAAATAATTACTCTGAAGTAGTAAATATTATCATGTTTTAGAATTGAAGAAACTTAGACTTAAAATGGTTAGTTTTCCTAAGTTTACAAGTTATTAACTGATGGAACTGAGAATCAAACCGAGTAAAGCTGGTTTTGAGATATTTAGTCTCTCAAAAGTCTCCTTTTATATGACAGAAAGATATTTAAAGAAATTAATAAAAATCTAATAGTTGTTAAGAACCAGAAGGAATATCCTCAGCAAATCAAATTTTTGGGGTTCTTAAAAGTTACAAGGAAGATAGCACTAAATTGATTTAATCAACAAATATTAGAGGTAATAGTGGTCATTTTCAAATAAACCCCAAAGAAGCTGCATGCTTAGTATAAACAAATAGAAGATTGACACATGGAAATGGAGTAACAATCAAAATAATTAATTAAAAATCTGTTTAGAACAGCTGGCCCCACTGGGTTTATCTCCTCTCCCCGTGTGGCCAACAGCCATGGCTTTGGTATGCAAATAAGCAGCCAAAAAATGCTTCCTATAAAAACTGGATGATGCTTCTGGGAAAGGATTCTAGTGTGAATGTTTGGGCATGTAAAGAAAGAAGTTTGACAGTGAGGTAAACCCATAATTCCAGAACTCCACAAACATTACTAAGGGAAAACAAAGAGGTATTGTCTGCTCAGCTTAAGAGGAAAATATGTTGACTCTCCCCTACACTTTGATGCTTTGTGTGGTTCATTTTGGTTTGAAATAAGGTGCAGAGAGAGCAATTAAATAACCAGGTTTGCTCAATTGTAAATAGCCCAATTAATTTTTATAATTATACTTTTATAATAATCATCAAAGGAATGAACTTGACTATTTCTTAGAGCCTCCCACAATTAGAACAGGTTAAATAATATGGATTAATGAGCACCATTTTTTTTGCATTGCTGTGATTATGCCAATAGGTAAAATACAGATATGAGTCCCAAGAGCTTCTTAAACTCCCAAGTTCTCTTCAAGTTCTTTAACTTACCACTCATATTCAGTTCTCTGTTCAAAGCCCACCTGAATGTTACCCATCCCTTACCACCCAATGTAAAACTAACAAGCTCAAATCTAGGCTATACCTGGATTATGTATTAATAGTACATTCTTCATTTCCATGCAGTATATTTATTTATAATATTATTAGTATAAGGAGGGGGTCTCATTTTCAACAAAGAGAAATCACATTCATACCGTCAATTTTTTATCAAGACCTTATTTAAATTCTATCTGTCATGGGTTCATTGCACTTAATATGATCAAAATCACAGAGATGTAGACTATTTGGAGCTTTTTTATAGTCATTTACTTGTATTATCCTCATATATTTCACATTTACTCCCTTGTTCATCTCATGTAGTACTGTGGCTTAAATTGTCATGTATATGGTAATGACTTCAGCTGTCCACCTAAATCTATTCTAGCTGTCCACCACAATCTATTATCTCCTTTCATAATAATAGAATTGCTGCTGGACATTTGACTGTCCAACTGTTCTTGCAGTAAAATTGTGCCACCATTTGCTGCATGAGGTCATATCACGTAAGTTACTCATCTTTGGCCATGAAGTTACCAGTGCTGAAGATGATATAAGGAAGCTGAGTTCCTTAAAGACTTTGAAAAGAAGAGCTGACTGCCAAACATACCTATGCTAAAAATTCTCCATTATATCCCAATCTTGGGGTAAAAACCAAAGTCATTTTAATAATGTATACAGTAATACACGTTTACACATCAGCAGGACTCACTCTTTCGGTTTTCTTAGGTGCTGATTCAGATGGTACTTTCTGGTCCAGGCTTCTTCTGGCTATTATATTAAAATTATGCCCATTTTGTAATTCTTACACTTTGCCCCATCTTTATTATTTTTTCATACTTTTTCTTATGTGAAATTTTCAATATGTTACTTGTTTTTGTTTCTCCTAACTTGTAAGAATGCAAGTACTAAGCTGTCATATATATTTTAAAATATAGAAAATAATTAAGCATACGTTTTAATTCTGTGGGTTAAGAATTAAAGTGGGAATCAGCTGGGTAGTATTTGTTCCCATAATATTGGCTGGGGTTATTCATGAAGTGGTACTTGGTTAGGAACTCTGCCGTAGCTAAAAAGTTCAGGGTAGCCTTGAACTACAGAGTTTCTCTCATTATGCTTCTCATTATTCAGTAATCTATCCTGGGCATTCCTTTTTTTCATTTTTATTTTAGATACATAGGGTATATTTTATTTGAGATACAGGGGGTATTTTATCACATGGGTATAATGCACTCAGGAGGTGAGCATAGTTCACAACAGATAGTTTTTTGAACCTTGCTTCCCTCCCTCCCTCACCTCTCTAGCAGTCTACACAGTGTCCATTGTTTCCATGTTTATGTTCATGGGTGTTCAATGTTTAGCTCCCATTATAAATGAGAAGACATGGTATTTGGTCTTCTGTTCCTGCATTAATTTGCTTAGGATTATGGCCTCTAGTTCCATCCACATTGCTGCAAAGGACATAATTTTATTATATATTATGGCTGCATAGTATTCCATGGGGTATATGTACTACATTTTCTTTATTCAATCTACCATTGATGGGCACATGGGTTGATTCCCTGTCTTCGCAATTGTGAATAGCACAGTGATGAACTTACGAGTGTATGTGCCTTTTTGGTAAAATCACTTATTTTTTGGGGGTGGGTATATACCCAGTAAAGGGATTACTGGGTTGAATGGTAGCTCTGTTTTAAGTTATTTGAGAAATCCCCAAACTACTTTCCACAGTGGCTGAACTAATATACATTCCCATAAGCAGTGCATATGTGTTCCTTTTTCTCTACAACCTTGCCAACATTTGTTAGTTTACTTTTAATAATAGCCATTTTGACTGGTGTGAGATAGTATCTCATTGTGGATTTGATTTGAGTTAATCTGATGATTAGTGATGTCGAGCAAATATTTTTCATGTTTGTTGGCTGCTTTTCTGTCTTTTGAGAAGTGTTTGCTCGTTTACTTTGACCATTTTTAATTGGGTTATTTGGTTTTTGCTTGTTGAATTAAGTTCCTTATAGATTCTGAATATCAGACCTTTGTCTTATACATAGTTTGCAAGTATTTTCTCCCATTTGGTAGATTGTCTGTTTGCTCTCTTGATAGTTTCTTTTGCTGTCCAGAAGCTTTTTTTAGTTTAATTAGGTCCAGTTTGTCTATATTTTTGGGTGGGGGTATAATTGCTGTTGGGGACTTAGCCAAAAATTATTTGCCAAGGCAGATGCTGAGAAGGGTATTTTTTACATGTCTTCTAAGATTTTTATACTCTGAAGTCTTACATTTAAATATTAGATTTTGCCGAGCATGGTGGCTCACACCTGTGATCCTAGCCCTTTGGGAAGTCGAGACAGGCAGATCATTTGAACCCAGGAGTTTGAGACCAGCCTGGCAATATGGTGAAACTCCGTTTCTACAAAATAATACAAAAATGAGCCGGGCATGGTAATGTATACCTGTGGTCCCAGCAACTCTGGTGACTGAGGTAGGAGGATCACCTGAGTCCAGTTGGTTGAGGCTGTAGTAAGCCACGATTGTACCACTGCACACCAGTCTGGCAACAGAGTGACATCCTCTCTTAAAAAAAAAAAAAATTAAATGTATCTTGAGTTAATTTTTGTACACAGTGAAATGCAATGGTCTAGTTTCATTCTTCCGCATATGGCCAGCCAGTTATCCCAGCACCATTTATTGAATAGGAAATCCTTTCTCCATTGCTTGCTATTGATGGCCTTTTCAAAGATCATATGGTTGTAAGTGTGCAGCCTTATTTCTGAGTTTTCTATTCAGTTCCATTGGTTTATGTGTCTGTTTTTGTACCAGTAACATGCTGTTTGGTTATTATAGACTTACAGCATAGTTTGAATTCAGGTAGTGTGATTCCTTCAGCTTTAGTCTTTATGCTTAGGATTGGTTTGGATTTGGGGGACTTTTTTTGATTCCATATAAATTTTACAATGGTTTTTTTGTTTGTTTTGTTTGTTTTTGCTAATTCTAGAAAAATGGTGTTAGTTGTTGGATAGGAGTAGTGTTAAATCTGTAAATTGTTTTGGGCAGAATGGCCATTTTACTATTGATTCTTTTAACCTATGAGCATGGAATATTTTTCCAATTATTTATGTCATCTCTGATGTCTTTAAGCAGTGTTTTTAGTTCTCCTCGAAGAGCTCTTTCATCTCCGTATTTAGCTGTATTCTAAGGTATTTAATTTTCTTTGTGGATATGTAAATGGGATTTTTTTCTTGATTTGACTCCCGGCCTGGGCATTATTGTAGTATAGAAATGCTACTAATTTTTGTGCTTTCATTTTATATACTGAAATTTTGCTAAACTCATTTATCAGTTCTAGTAGTCATTTGATAGTGTCTTTAGGGTTTTCTACATATAAAATGATATTGTCAGCAAAAGAGATACTTTGATTTTTCTTTTCCTATTTGGATGCCTTTTATTTCTTTATCTTTCCTGATCGACCTGGCTAGAACTTACAGTACTATGTTGAATAGTAGTGGTGAGAGTGGGCATCCCTGTCTTGTTACAGTTCTAAAAAGGAATAGTTCCAGCTTTTGCCCATTCAGTATGATATTGGCTGTAGGTTTGTCAAAGGTGGATTATTTTAAGGTATATTAGGTATATTCCTCCAATGCCTACAATGCTGAGGGTTTTATCATGAAACAAAGTTGGATTTTATCAGCCTGGCGTGGTGGCTCACGCCTGTAATCCCAACACTTTGGGAGGCCAAGGCGGGCGGATCAGGAGGTCAGGAGTTCAAGACCAGCCTGGCCAACATGGTGAAACTCCGTCTCTACTAAAAATACAAAAATTAGCTGGGCGCGGTGGCGCCTGCCACCTGTACTGCGGGATTTGGTTTGCTAATATTTTGTTGAGGATTTTGCATTTATGATAATCAGGGATATTGGCCTGAAGTTTTCTTTCTTTGTCGGGTCTCTGTCAGATTTTGGTATTAGGCTGATGCTGGCTTCATAGAATGAGTTATGGAGGAGTCCCTTCTGTTTTATTTTTTTGTAATAGTTTGAGCAGTGTTGATACCAGTTCTTTATATGTCCAGTAAAATTTGGCTGTCAATCCATCTGCTTAGGAATTTTTTCAGTTGGTTTTTTTTATTATTATTATTACTGATTCAATTTCAGAGCAAAATATTGGTCAGTTCAGTGTTTCAGTCCTCCTTGTTCAATTTTGGGAGATTGTATGTTTCCAGGAATTTGTCAATTTCCTCTAGATTTTCTAATTTTTGTGCATAGAGTTGTTGATAGTATTCTTTGTGGATCTTTTGTATTTCTGTGTGATCAATTGTAATGTCATCTTTGTCATTTTTGATTGTAATTATATGGATTTTTTTCTTAGTGGTCTACCAATCTTGTTTTTTTTTTTTTCAAAGAACAAGATTTTCATATCCTTGATCTTTTTATAAATTTTTGCATCTCAATTTCGTTAAGTTCTCTAATTTTAGTTATTTCTTTTCTTCTGCTAGTTTTGGCAGGTTTTCTTCACCCCGCTAGTTCGTTTTGGTACAAAGATTGTTAGTTTCAGCTCTTTCTAACTTTTTGATGAGGGCATTTGGGGCTATAAACTTCCCTCTTAATACTGCTTTAGTTGCATCCTAGAGATATTGCTAAGTTGTGTCCCTATTTTCATTAATTTCAAAAAATGTTTTATTTCTGCCTTAATATTGATGTTCACCCAGGAGTTATTCAGAAACAAGTTATTTAATTTCCATGTATTTGCATAGTTTTTAGAGATCTTGATATTGATTTCTATTTTTATTGCTCTGTTGTCTGAGAGTATGCTTGGTATGATTTTAATTTTTTTGAATTTATTGAATCTTGTATTATGACCAAGTATGTGGTCAATCTTAGAATATGTTCCATGCACAGATACGAAAAATGTATATTCTGTGGTTGGTTGTTGGAGTGTTCTGTAGATGTCTATTGGCTCCAATTGGTCAAGTGTCAATTGTAAATCCAGAGTTTCTTAGTTTTCTGCCTTGATAATGTGTCTAACACTGTCAGTGGGGCGTTAAAGTCTCCCACTGTCATTGTGTGACGTTTAAATCTCTTTGTAGATCTCTACGAACTTGTTTTCTGAATCTCATTGCTGTGACATTGGGTGCTTACATATTTAGAATAATTAAGTCTTCCTGTGGAATTTTACTCTTTATCATTATTTAATGTCTTTCATTGCCCTTAATTTTTATTGGTTTAAGGTCTGTTTTATTTGATATAAATATAGTGGTGACTCCTACGCTGATTTGTTTTCCATTTGCATGGTAGATCTTAATCCCTTTACTTTGAGCCTTTGGGTATTGTTACATGTGAGATTGGTCTCTTGAAGATAACAGATGGTTGGTCTTGCTTTTTATCTAGCTTGGCACTCTATGTCTTTTAAGAGTGGTATTTAGGCTATTTACATTGAAAGTTAATATTGTTGTGTGTAACTTTGAACCTCTCATCATGTTGTTAGCTGGTTGTTATGCAGATTTTATTGTGTAGCAGCTTTATAGTGCCTATGGGCTATGTAGCTGTGTGTTTTTATGGTAGCAGGTATCATTTTTTTGGTTCTATGTTTAGCACTCCCTTAAGGGCCTCTTGTAATGCTGGTCTAGTAGAAACACATTTCTTCAGCATTTGTTTTCTGAGGATTTTATTTCTCCTTCACTTATGCAGCTTAGTTTGGCAGAATATGAAATTCTTGGTTGGAATTTCTTTTCTTTAAGGATGCTGAAAAAAAGGCCGCACTCTCTTCTGGCTTGCAACGTTTTTGCTGAGAGTTCTGCTGCCAGCCTGATGGGGTCTCCTCTGTGTGTGACTTGACCCTTCTCTCTAGCTGCCTTCAAGATTTTTTCTTTTGCTTTGACCATGCTGAATATGATGAATATATGCCTTGAGGATAGTGATTTTTTTATAGCATCTAGCCAGGGTTCTCTATTTCTTGGATTTGTGTCAACCTTCCTAGCAAGATTAGGGAAATTTTCATGGACTATATCCTCAAATATATTTTTCAAGTTGTTTATTCTCTTTTTTCTCTCTCAAGAAGGCCAATAAGTAGCAGATTTGTTCTCTTTTCATAATCTCGTATTTATCAGAGATTTTGTTCATTTTTTAAATTCCTTTTTCTTTATTTTTATCTGACTGAGCTGATTCAAATAAGTGGAACTCAAGCTCTGATATTGCTTCCCCAGCTTGACCTCTTCTGCTGTTCCTAATTCTGATAGTATTCTGAAATTCTTGTAGTGACTTTTTCCTTTCCAGAAGTTCAGTTTAGTTCTTTCTTAAAATGGTTATTTTGTCTTTCAGGTCTTAGATAATTTTACTGGATTCCTTGGTTTCCCTGTATTGTGTTACCACTTTCTTCTGAATCTTGATGAGCTCCCTTGCCATCCAGATTCTGTATTCTATTTCTGTTATTTCAGTCATTTCAGACTGGTTATGAACCATTGCCAGAGAGCTAGTGGACTCGTTTGAAGGTAAGGGGACACTCTGGCTCTTTTAATTGCCAGATTTCTTGTGCTGATTTTTTGTCATCTGGGACAGTTGGTGTTAAAGCTATGCTGTAAGTTGAGTATAGTCAGTTGGCTTCATTCCTGGATACTTTCAGAGGGCCAAGGTGCTGTACAGGATCTTTATTTGTGGATGAATTCTTGTGCTTGGTTTTACAGGTATACATATTAGTGGGATAATTTTTGGTGCTGTTTGGGCTGTGATCCAGTAGACGGTGCTTAAGAGTAATGGCCAGTAGCCAGGCTAATACCCAGCCATATGGCTCTTTTGTACTTCCTCATGTTAACAGGTATTTTCTGCAGTAGGGGCAGGGAGAAAGATGTTTCCCTCACCAGATCCATTCAAGGGACTTGGGGGACCCTCCTCCAATCACTGGCGCTGTGCTTGCATTTCTTTTGTTAGATGTTCCAGGCCATGGGGCCCCCTTGGGCACAGACTGTGGCAGGGAGATGTCCCACACCCTTTCTGGACCAGCCCTGTGGAGGGAAGAATGCTTTGCTCCCTCTCCAGCCTGGGAACCTGCACATCTTGCCTCTCTCAGTGCTCTCAGGATAAGGGCTCCTCCTCTGCTTGAGTGCTGGCCACAGACTGCAGCTCTGCACTCCTGAACTGCATGCTGCACCCCCTAGGGGCACCAGGAAATCCCATGGCTTGGGGTTGGGTTCCAGCTGCATTGGAGGATTCCGTGTACTCCTGGTTCTCTGATAATGTACTCAGGTGTAGCAGTGTACTCGTGCTGGGCCATGGAGGCTACACTGTGCATCTGTTTTCTGGGGTAGCTAGACATGGGCCAAAGGATGGGCTGGTGGACAGGAGGGCTTGCAGAACAGATCCTGTCTAGTACAACAGGGAAGCCGGCCCCACTTTCTCCTGGCTCAGGTAAACTTGGGCAGTGCCTCCTGAAAAGGGATGGGGAACCTAGGGGATGAGCGTCTCTGATGACTGTCTGTTGGTGCTGCCCAGCAAGCAAAAGCTCCTGGGCTCTGTGCCATCTGAGGGACTGTCGCTGCCTGCTCCCTAAGGAGATCTCCCTACCAGCTCACACATCCATGGATGACATGAGGTATCCTGCAGCTAGGATCTCAGAGTTCCATGGCAAGAGGGAACCATCCCCCAGTTCCCTCTTCATCCCTTTCCCAGAAGCCATTTGGGGCCAGGAACTAGATCTAGTGTTTGGGAATGCGTGGAGGATTACCAGTTTCCTCTCTCTTCAACCTCAGCTTCAACATCACCTCTCTATACATTCTCAGCCTTTTATTTCCAAAAAACTGTCCAAATTATGGTGGTTTACAAGATGATTCAGTCTCACTTGGTGCAAGCAGCACTTTCTGGCTGCATCTAGTTGGCCATCGTGCCCTTTTATACACAGGCATACCTCAGAAATATTGTGGGTTTGGTTCCAGACCATTGCAATGAAACAAATATCAAAATAAAGCTAGTCACTTTTTTAAATTTTGCTTTCCCAGGGTGTATAAAAGTTACTTTTACACTATACCATAGTCTATTAAATGTGCAATAGCATTATGTCTAAGAAAACAATGTATATACTTTAATTTAAAAACACCTGGCCTGGCACTGTGCCTCAAGCCTGTAATCTTAGCACTTTAGGAGGACAAGGCAGAATTGTTTGAGCCCAGAAATTCGAGATCAGCCTGGCAACATGACGAAATGCTGTCTCTATAAAAAAATACAAAAACTTAGCTGGGTGTGGTGGCACATGTCTGTGGTCCCAGCTACTCAGGAGATTGAGGTGGGAAGATCACCTGAGCCCAGCAGTTCAAAGCTTCAGTGAGTCACTATTGCACCACTGCACTCTAGCCTGGGTGACAGAGTGAGACTCTGTCTCCAAAAATTAAAACAACAACAACAACAACAAAAACACACTTTATTTCACTAACAACTGTCCAACCCTTCAGTGAGTCATAATTTTTTTGCTGTGGAAGATCTTGCCTCTATGTTGATGGCTGCTATCTGATCTCATTTGTGATTGCTGAAAGTTGGGGTGGCTCTGGCAATTTCTTAAAATAAGAGAACAATAAAGTTAGTCGCATCAATTGATTCTTCTTTTCATGAAACATTTATCTGTGGCATGTGATGCTTTTTGATAGCATTTTACTCACAGTACCACTTCTTTCAAAATTGGAGTCAATTCTATTCAACTCTGACACTACATGATCAGTTTATGTAACTTTCTAAACCCTTTGCTGTCATGTCAACAATGTTCATAGCATCTTTACTAGGAGTAAATTTCATCTCAACAAACCACTTTCTTTGATCATCCATAATAAGCAACTACTGATCTGTTCAAGTTTTATGATGAGATTGCAGCATTTTAGTCACATATTCAGGCACCACTTCTAATTCTAGGATGCTTTCTGTTTCTGCCATAACTTCAGTTACTTCCTCCACTTAAGTCTTAAACCTCTCAAAGTCATGCATGAGGTTTGGAATCAACTTCTGTTAGATTTGATGGTTTGACCTCCTCTCATGAATCACAAGTGTGCTTAATGAAATCTATAATGATGAATTCTTTCCAGAAGGTTTTCAGTATTTTTTTCCCAAATCCACCAAAGAATTGTTATCTACATAAACTATGGTCTTATAAAATATTTTTATTAAACTATAGTACTTGAAAGTCAAAATTACTCCTTGATCTATGGACTGCAGAATGGATGTGGTATTAGCAGGCATGAAAACAACATTAATCTCCCTGTACACCTCCTTCAGAGCTCTGGGGTGTCTAGATGAATTGTCAATGAGCAGCCATACTTTGAAAGAAATGTCTTTTTTCTAAGCAGTAGGTCTCAACAGTGGATTTAAAATATTCAGTAAACTATACTGTAAACAAATATGTTGTCATCCAGGCTTTGTTCTTCCATTTATAGAGCATATGCAGAGTATATTTGGCATATTTTTTAAGAGCCTTGGAATTTTTAAATGGTAAATAAGCATTGGCTTCAACTTAAAGTGGTCAGCTGCATTAGGCCCTAACAAGAGAGTCAGCCTGTCCTTTGAAGCTTAGAAGCCGATATTGACTTCTTTCTAACAGTAAAACTCTAGATGGCATCTTCTTTTAATATATAAGGCTGTTTGGTCTACGTTGAATATTCATTATTTAATATAGCCACCCTCATCAAGTAACTAGATCTTCTGATTAACTTTCTGCAGCACTTACTGCTTCACCTTGCACTTTTAGGTTATGGAGATGGCTTCTTTCTTTAAACCTCATGAACCAACCTCTATTAGCTTCCACTCTTTTTTTTCTGCAGCTTCCTCACTTCTTTCAGCCTTCATAGAATTGAAGTGAGATAAAGCTTTGCCCTGAATTGGGCTGTGTCTGAAGGGAATGATGTGGCTGGTTTGATCCTCTGTCCAGATTACTGAAACTTTGTCTATACCAGCAATAAGCCTATTTCACTTTATTATCTTTTGGATGTTCACAGGAGTAGCACTTTTAATGTCCTTCAATAACTTTTTCTTTGCCTTCAAAAGCTGGCTAATCACGCCTGTAATCCCAGCACTTTGGGAGGCCGAGGCGGGCGGATCACGAGGTCAGGAGATCGAGGCCATCCTGGCTAACACAGTGAAACCCCGTCTCTACTAAAAATACAAAAAATTAGCCGGGCGTGGTAGCGGGCGCCTGTAGTCCCAGCTACTCGGGAGGCTGAGGCAGGAGAATGGCGTGAACCCGGGAGGCGGAGCTTGCAGTGAGCCGAGATCGCGCCACTGCACTCCAGCCTGGGCGACAGAGCGAGACTCCGTCTCAAAAAAAAAAAAAAAAAAAAAAAAAGCTGGCTAAATATTTGGCACATGAGGCCTTGTTTTTACCACTCTGAGCTTTCAACATGCTTTCTTCACTAAGCTTAATCATTTCTAACTTTTGATTTAAAGTGAGAGATATGTGACTCTTCTTTTTACTTGAATACTTAGAGTCCATTATAGAGTTATTCACTGGTATAATGTCAAAATTGTTGTCTCTCAGGGAATAGGGAGGCCTGAAAAGAGGGAGGGAGAAGGGGAAATGGCCAGTCAGTGGGGTAGTCAACAAAACACATACCCCATTTATATATTAAGTTTGCTATTTTACATGGGTATGGTTTGTGGCATCCCAAAATAATTACAATAGTAATATCAAAAATCATTGATTACGGATCACCACAACAGATATAAGAATAAAGAAAAAGTTTGAAATAATGTGAGAATTACAAATATGTGATGTAGACACAAAGTGAACATGTGCTGTTAAAAAAAAAAAGGCACCAATAGACTTGCTTTATGCAAGGCAAAACTTCAATTTGTAAAAAAACATGGTATCTATGAAGCACAATTAAGCGAAGCACAGTAAAATGAGATGGTATTTATTTTCTATTTATTTTGCAAAACAATTCTGCCTGTTCTTAAATCATATAATATGTCCATCTCTAGAACCAAGTGGGGCTTGTGGCAATTTTGGAGCAGCTTCCCAAAATAATCACATTTGAAGAGAAACTATATATTTGGAATTTTGCATAGGTTCTTTTGATACAATTAAACAATGAAAGTTCAAAATTGAACTTTAATTATGTTAAGAAAATAACATTTAGTTTCAGTGTTGCATGGCTTGCTCCTCAGTCCCCAAAAGCAAAGAATATAAGGCAGTCATTTCTGCCATCCTATCTAATGAATAACTTGGCGTATAGCTTCTTGATAACATAGCTACCATTTTAATCTGGTTGGAAAGTTTGATGATAATTAAAAGTTTTAGCTGAAACTCCTGCCTTGAATGAAAACCACCAGGCATTTTTATCCGTATTCCTATTTTGATAATCAAATCTTTGATGGTGAGCAGGTAGATATATTATTTGCATTTACCAAAAAACAAAACAAAACAGCACAAAGGCTTAAAAGTTTAGATGGCTTGCCTAAAGTTGCATAGGTAGTTAGTAAGTGACAATACCAAACTAATATGCCTTGTTATCTTGTGGCAATTACACTAAATTACACTCCACTCTATGTCTAAAAATTAGAAAGCAGAGATATAAACATCCATATCATTTATTTTAAAGTACCATTAATTGTTGTTTATTTATACGGTTTAATGATTTGGCTTCCCAGAATGCTGGGCTTTCTTAGCTTCCATCAGAGCACAAAGAAATCATGAACCACATCATGCTCTGTTAACTTCAGGCCTAGTTGTTAGCACTAATAACATAAGATAATAATTGCAAATAAGTGTCATTTTTGTTTGTACTTTTATTGCATATCACTTCAGCCTTTATTTCCTACCATGCTCTATGTGAATTCTTCCAAAAGAAATTTTGTGTAATACATATTTAAAAATGCATCAAGGAAACACATTTTAAAAAGCAATGGCATTTCAGGAAATGACTAGAATTGTGCAAGTTACACTCATTATGGGCATGGCTTAATTTTTCATGCATCTGTCCAACTGCTGTTTCATTTTTTTTGATGTTCCAATTGTACCAATCTGGACATATTTGAATAAATGTTCTAACTGTATTCTATTTGTTTAAATAAGGGGAAAAATTAGCATCTCTACCTGCCTGATATTTCCTGTCTTTCTTCTTTATCTAGTTCAAACAAAGAAGATAAAAATTATAACTGTTTGAAAAAACAATGGAGACATTAACTGTGACATTTAAGGTAAAATAAACATCAATATTTAAAAGAAGAAAATAGTTCATACTATTTTGCACACCATTATTTCTGAATGTTTTAAACTTGAAAATTTAGGTAGCAAAGGTGGGCTTTATAAATAGTAAAAGAAGCAGTAATGATACAGTTATTTTTATATAATATGACAGATTATTCAGAGATTTTTATGTTAATGCCCTTTATGTGGGTTGAAAATCATTGAATATCGTTGTTTTATTCAATTCAGGCTAAATTAGCACCATCTTCTTTAGGAGACCATGTCATAGCATGGCAGAAATTCACATTTAAAAACTCAGGGACACTTCCCAAGGAAAAATTCTCGTCTTTTTTCTTTTGGGCAGGTATAGCTTTAGGCAAACCTGTGAAATCTGTAAAGCTCATATTTAGAGCTTGTTGTATCACCTTTTCTTATTTTTCTGGAATCCAAGGTGTTTGATCTGTCCTAGAAGAATTCTTTCATTATTTTTTTCTGTCTGAGGCCCTATATTACATGGGAAGAGACAATTTTCAACCCAATAATTCTTCTTATCATCTAGGCTTGGGGTTTTGATTTAATATGGCTGAACTTTCATTTCCCAATTCACATTCTTGGTTAGAAAGCAATCTTTCTTACCACTTCCTCAAGTCTTTTGTTTATTTGTTTGTTTATTTATTCATTTATTAGTGTCTCCTTTACAGATAGGACTGGATTTTGAGGCTTCCAGCTTTATAACAATCTACCTCACCTGAGTGGGGACCCAAAATTGATGTATCTCCCTAAGCCATAAAATTCTGGCTTGGCGCAGTGGCCAAAGTCTATAATTCCAGCACTTTGGGAGACCAAGGCAGGAGAATCGCTTCAGCCCGGGAGTTTGAGACCAACCTGGGGAATATCGTGAAACCCCATCTCTACAAAAACATACAAAAAGTTAGCTGAGCATGGTGATGTGTGCCTATAGTCCCAGCTATTCAGGAGACTGAGCTAGGAGGATCGCTTGAGCGCAGGCAGAGTTTGCAGTGAACCATGATCACAGCACTCCACTACAGCTTGGGTGACAGAGTGATACCCTGTCTAAAACAAAAAAAAAAAAAGAAAGAAAAAAAATCCTAGCTGACTGTTCTATTGTCTGTAGGTAGGTTTTATAGAGTGAAGGGCTAACATTCCTTTGGTTTTAGCTTACCATTCTCACTTTGTTATTAATACTTCTTCATTCCTATTACCTTCTCCGTTCCTGCTTTCCTTTCCCCTTCTTTCCTCTTTCATTTTCTCTTTTCTTTCCCTTCTCCACTCCCTCTCCCCTTTCTTCTTCCTTTCCCCCTTTCTTCTTCTTTCCCCTATCCCTTCTTTTATTTTTCAATTTCTCCTTCCTTTCTTTTAAATCTGCTATACATATTTTTTTAAATGATCATATTTCATCCAGCATTTCTGTGTGCTTCTAGTGGTTGTGTGTGTGTGTGTTTTTTGGGTGGTGGTAATTGTGGGTCATCATTAACTTCTTCTGGTATATAATTGAAAGTCTATTTGACTCCAAGTCAAATTTCATGTTTGTGTACCTAATTGACTCAGGGCTCTGCATTCTATGAACATGTTAACTAACTTATATTTTCCCCATTTTAGAAAAGGGAAAATGACGTTTTAATCAGATTAAACATGTTTACCTATGTAACAAAGAGGCGCTTGTACCCCTGAACCTAAAATAAAAGTAAAAAACAATAAAGAAGGGAAAAAAATAACCTCATTTCCAAATTGAAAGCAAGGAATGACAAATGTTGGAAATTTCTTAGAGTGATGTAAGATGATGGAGAAGAAATTTGGGGGCAGGTGTATTTTTAATACCCTCTATATCTCAACTACTCTAGTTAAATGTGGGGCTAATGTGTTGGCCTAAAGGAATACGTTTATGACTGAAATATCTGAAAAGTTAAAATATTTTATTGAGCCCTTAACATGTATTAAGAACTCTTAACAACAACCCTATAAAATAAATTACCCCCATGTTAAAGTTGAGGAAATGGAGGTAATGAAGTATAATGTGCCAACAGTCACACAGGTAATAAATGGCTAAGCCAAGATCCAAACCTAGGCAATATAGCTCTGTTGTATTAATCAATATATTGAAATGACACTAAAGGCAAGAAAGATAAGTCAATAGAACAATTGATTCTATCATTTTCTTATATATAGATCTGATGAAGCCTCTGTATTTTGTCAAAGGTCAAAAGTTTTATATGCTTAACAACAATAGCAATAAAAAGTAGATTGATAGTCATCATTTTCATAGCAGCTTGCCCTACCAGGGAAGAAAAAGGTGCTTTCTTCTAAGGAAAACATTATCAGGTAAGGACCTTAATTCAATAAATTGCTTGTTAATTCACAGACACCTGTCTTAGCAGCTGGCTAGAATACTGCTAGAACACTGAGACTGGATGATCCAGTATCTACATCTACCTTTGTGCATTTTTCTTTTACAGCATGGAAAGAAATGTTCAATTGCTTAGTTGTGTGAAGACATGAAGCCCCATCTTGATACTTTCTTTCCCTAATGAAACATTTCTTTTTTCAACAAAATTATTTTTTGGCTTAAAGAAGTAATTCCTATTTCTAGCTAGGCAGTCCCTATATGCCTTCATAAAGAAAGCATTGTTTGGCAACATACACCAATAAATAATACTAGACTTGAAAAATTAGTTGTCTTGCTATTACTTTTTTTGTGTTTTCTTAAAAGTAATCTCACATATTTTTGGATGTTTACTTGGGAATACTGTGACACAAAGCCAGATTAGGGCAGTGGCAGTATCATTTGACTGTGTATAAAACATGTGTGGAATTTATTTTAAAATTTATTTCATAAACATACATCCAGGGATTCTGATTTGGTACTTCATACTAAGGGTGAGGTCCAGGAATCTACACTTAACAAATTTCCTGAAAATTTGGGTATAGGCAGTCTTTGGACCTTGCTTTTTGAAACTAAGTTAAGGAGTAGTTCACATACATTTTGAGCATCTGATAAAATGATTTGTGCCTATCTAATGAGATTCACTATCTTTATTTCTGTGTTACGCCTAGATTTCCTTTTTTCTCTAGAGCTTCATTCATTTAAGATGGAATTCCCTAATCCTCATTCTGTTTTTCAATCCAGTGGGAAATTGCTTTGTTTTCTTTTTCTGAAGTCCACCTTCAATTTACTGGTCCCTTTATTATTCCATAACCTTTCATGTCCCCTGTTATCTTCTTAGTGGGCTAAGGGTACAGACTCTGGAGCTTGTCTTAGTTGGAATTTGGACTGTAGAAGCTGGCTGTGCAACCATAAACAATTGGCTTAACCTCTCCTTGCTTACATTTAGTCATTTCTAAAATGGGGATGATAATAGTACTTAACACATACTTTTCTTTGGAGATTAAATGATATAATACACTTTAATTAGGGTGCCAGGGCATGGTAAGTGCTCGATAAATACTACTTATCATCTGATATCTAGCAACATCATGATCATCATCGTCATGATCATCACCATTATATGATTTCCTACCAGGTTTGCTTCTTAGCTCTTCATTCTGGAGAGAGAATCTCATCTCTCTCTCCTAAACCCAAATAAATGAATCTGATGGCTAAATGGTACAATACTAAAACTCATTACACTACTGTTCCATTAATTTTATTTTTATATAAGAGAGTATAAAATATTTTTGTAGTTTAACTAATAAATAGTAATTATAAAATAAACACTCATGTAACAATAACCTGCATAGCCCTCAATGAATATATTCCCCTCCCTCAGATATAACTTCTATCTTGATTAATCATTCTCTTACTTTTATTTGTGGTTTTATCATATACATATTCACATTTGAAAACTATATTGTTGGCTGGGCGCGGTGGCTCACGCCTGTAATCCCAGCACTTTGGGAGGCCGAGGCGGGCAGATCACGAGGTCAGGAGATCGAGACCATCCTGGCTAACATGGTGAAACCCCGTCTCTACTAAAAACACACACAAAAATTAGCCGGGCGTGGTCGCGGGCACCTGTAGTCCCAGCTACTCTGGAGGCTGAGGTAGGAGAATGGCGTGATCCCCGTAGGCGGAGCTTGCAGTGAGCCAAGATCGCGCCATTGCACTCCAGCCTGGGCGACAGAGCAAAACTCCGTATTAAAAAAAAAAAAAGACAACTATATTGTTAGGTTTTCTGTGGCTTTGGACTTTACAATGTGCAAAGTTTAGCTATTGTAAAGTTTAGCTATTCCATATACATTACTCCGTGATTCACTTCTGCTCAAAGTTATGTTTGTGAAAAACATCCATGTTCAAGGGTAAAGGAATACCATTTTCTCTTTTTCACTCCTATGATTTATTTCATTGTATGACCACAACATAATTACATGTTCTATTGTTGATAGGTACTTGGGTTGTTTAAAGTTTTTGCCATTATAAACATTGATTCCATGAATGTACTTATATAAGCTTCCTTGTGCACATAGTCAAGACTTCTCTCTGCTTGCAACTAGCAGTGAAATTGCTAAGATGGTTTAGGCAGATGCTTGAGTTTGATAAACAACATCAACATTTCTAATTAAAGTAATCATAGTCCATATAAGTTTAATCAATTTAATCTACCATCAGAATATGAGAGTTCTTGTTGTTTCATGTCCCTGCTATAATTTTGTAATGACGTTTCTTTTTTGTCAAAATAGCTATGTATACTTTCTTCATTGTAGTTTCATTTAACCTGACCCTCATTACTAATGAGGTTCTGTATCTTCTTGTACGCTACCAGGTATTTGGGTTTGTTCTTTTTTAGTGCCTATTTAAAAGCCTGGCTTGTTATAATACATATAGCACAGTCTTTCAGTTAAACACTGTGAGGGCTGGTTTTAGATCTCTTTTGTTGAGTATATCATTCCTTCAAGTATGCATTCATTCATTCATTTTTAAAATATTTTGAAGTAGTTACTGAAAGCAAAATGCTAAGTAAACTCTTTTTTTTGGAGACAGGGTCTTGCTGTCTCACCCAGACTGGAGTATAGTGGTACAGTCACAGCTCACTGCAGCCTCAAACTCCTGGGTTCATGGTATTCTCCTACCTCTGCCTTCTGAGATGCTGGGATACAAGCACACGCCACCACACTTGCCTACTCTTTTTTTAAATATTTTATTTTTTGTAGATAGGGGATATCTTGCTGTATTGACCAGGCTGGTCTCAAACTCCTGCCCTCAAGCAGTTCTCCCACCTTGGCCTCCCAAAGTGTTGGGATTACAGGCATGAGCCTCAGTAAACTCTTTTATACTTACCTGCACTTTGTAGTTGTTTTGCGAACTTTAAATGGCTAAATGAAAATTAACCTGTTTCACCCTTTGCCTCAGCTGCCAAGACCTTGAGGCCAAATATGTTAATCATTTGGAATTTCCTGCATATCTCAGAGTCCTAATAGTATACATTAGTATCTAGGCATTGGCTTCCTATACAGCAAATTGGTGAGCAATAATTTCCACATGAGGGTAAGTTAAGGAATTTAAACATGTTTATTTGCATTTTTTCATTCAAAATAAAGATAGCTTCATTGGGCCCTACATAAAAATGCATATTCTTACAACTTAGATTACATACTTTATATGTTTTCTAATTGACAATGAGAATTAGGCACTATTTTATTGTTACTAAAATATTAATATATAGGCACAGTTGAGAATACATAATATGTGTAAAAGAAAATAAAATTTCAGGACCCTCTGAATTTATAATGCTAAGGGAGAAGTTAAGCCCTAGTGATAGAATCATATATCACTTTTGCAATTCTGCTTCTTAAGTGATAGATAACCCTCTTCCTCATTGTTTTTGTTCCATAAATGACTAGGAGAGACCAAAGACCAGACCTTCCCACTTTCCAATGGAAAGTGATTCAAACATTAACATTAACAAGCTATAATGTTTGTTATAGATTAACTGTCTCCTTTTTGGTCCTGTACTTGACTCAGACTAGATGATACCCAAGACCCAATAACTGTTACATCTTTGGTGTAAAATGTTCAATATGTCTCTCTGAAAGAAAAAGACCACCTTGACTAATCAGATTATTGAAACTATGTGTTATGCCTTACATAGAAATATGTTGAAATTCTGTTAAACTTCCCTAAACTTTGTTTATATAAGCAATCCCAAACTTTTGCTCTTTGAAACACTGATTTCCATTTTTTTGGAATCTGTACTTCTTAGGTAGATCATCCTCAAACTTTGTGCTTGCATAAACTCTCTTTAAACTAGATTCTGACCATTTCGATTATTTTAGGTTGACATTTTGGTAACTCAGAAGGAACCTGAAGCAAGTCTCCAAGATTCCTACCATTTTGCAGACAACTGGTGCCTTGATACCAGCGCATATGGCTTTTGTTCACCCAACCTCACCAGAGCTGGCAGGGGTCTCTGTCAAGACTCTTCTTGGGTTTCAAATCTCCCTAATTTTGGCTTGGAATTTGGGCCTTATTCAAGTGACCTGAATCACACTCCCCAGAGCTGGAATTGAAGCTTTGCTTTTAAGGAAGGAGAATTATTTGTTATTCTCTATAGAGTCTGCTGCCTGCAGATTTGTGATTTTCATTTTCCTCTGAGGTTAAGATTTTGTTTATCTTACTTATTAAAGTTTGCAATCTATTTCTCTCAGTAGAAGTTCAGTCAAGAAGAAAATGGTTTCTCTTTGAAAAGAAAAAGTGAAATTTTTGTAGCTTAAGCAACATATATGTAATCTTTAAAACTGACCAGATTCTGAGGCTTGATTAAATTGACAATTTGAAACTTTCTTGAATGATCAAAATTCTTCACACTAGGTAATAATCTAAATTATGAGCAATCATACCTATAAGGCCAAGTCTTTATCCTCAAGGAGAAATCCACCTTTAGACACTCCAACTGAATTTATGTAAAATACTTATGGCACCATTTCCTGTTGATATCTAGAAAAATGGTCTTACTTAATGCATGAAGACCCCGAAATGGAGTACCTTTAAAAACAGGTAGCCAGAATAGGGTAACTTTAAAATACCTAAATTTGTTTATCTGTGTGCTCAATGAGAAACAGACAGCTCCAAAGTAAACTAAAAGAACTTGAAGAGATATTTTTCAATAGTACTTAGAAGCCTGTAAAAGAGGTTCTGATAAAGTCATTTCTTTGAAGGAAGAAAACAAAATATTGTCTAAAACTATTTTTTAAATTAAAAAAGTAAACACTGAAGGCTTTCTCCCTGTCACCTCCAACTGCTCGTTTTCTTTAGCCTGGAGCTCTGAACTCATCCCTTTCTGCTTATTTCTTCAGTTCCCATACATCTTTTAGGCAGAGATTTTTGGAATTCCACTATGCACACATTTCCTTTACTCAAAAGGGGGACAATGTTTTTAAATTTGGAACAGTGGGAATAAACAGAACAACTACAGAATGAAAATGAACCTAAGATTATAAAAATACAGATCCAACAAATTATTTCTAAACCAGAAATGATGAACAACACTGATGATATATTGATGGAACAGCAGATGAATCCTTTCAATGCCCTGGTTTATTTTGTGGTCCCTTGGAGATGTGAATCTTATGAAGTCTTTGAAATGGTAATATCCAGGGAATTAGCTAAGCAGCAGTTGAGATCAGATCTGAAACAAGTTAAAATTCTTTAAATACTCAAAGTGCCTGCTTTGGATCCCATACAGGATCTGCAAAAAGCACTCTGTCCTGTGGTCTAGTGGTTAGGATTCTGAGCTTTCATCACTGTGAACTGTTTTCAGTCCCTCATTAGGGAATCAGTCTCATTTGTCTTAAATTATTTGTATGACTCCACACCTTTTAGGCACCTATTTGTTACTGAACCTTTTCCCTTCCATGGACAGCTTTCGATTTTCTGTCTTTTCATATGTGGGGCACATGGAGCTTTGGGGCCTTCATGTGTAAGTGCTCAGCTGAGAAGCTGATATCCTAGAAAATCTGGCCAGATAGAAATGTGGGTTGTATTCCATTTATGACTAGCAAGACTTTTCTTTCTTTGAGCTGTCTCTGGAGTAATTCTGGATCTTGTAAGGATTGCTTTACACGTCTTTGGAGATATCTAGTTAATTCTTGGTTAAGTTATAAATTTGGTTAAGGCTCACTGGTTTTGGTGGGTCACTCCACCAAAGGATACCTTTGGCTTTAAAAAAAGAAAAGTGGAATAAAGTATTTATAAAAGGTAAGCCTTCAGATAAGGTAGGCTTACTTCTTTTTCAGAGCTATCTATGATGACACTAGGCATAAAAAAATTATTTGCCTGCTTCCATAATGAGCTCCACTCCGGACTCAATAATTTTAGATAAGAAATAGAAGCTAAGTTGGCAAGACCACCCACTGAAGACAATTAGTATAAAAAGTACATCTTTCTGGCATTTAGCTGGCTATTTTGAAATCCCTTTGTAAAAGAACTTTACAGGTATAAAGGAGATCTTCATTTGTAAGAACATCTCTCTTTCTGCATGATGAATATATTGGCTCTAAGTTTACATAACAAACCTTACCTTTGTTCAAGATACTTTCCTGCAATTTTGTCTTGACTCAGCCTGTACCTATTTCATTCTTTCTCTCAGCAAATAATGCTGTTTACATCTAAGTTATTTGCCTTTGGGATGTAAATTTTGCCTGAGTCATGTCTTTTGGAAGAGCAAATTTACTGTTGCCTGGCTAACAATTATTTAGGGCTTGATAGTCTGAAGGAATGAGAGAAACTATTTGAAAACCAGCAAAGGAAAAACTTTGTGAAGCTATAAAATCTGCTTCTGTCTGTGTGTCTCTATGTCTATATGTTTATAGGCGACATTTCACTACCAAAACATGTGAAAGAGCTCTAAATAATTGGCTTAAAAAAAGTAAGTGCCTAAGTCAAATATTTTATCAGAAAAATAGAAACTAACTCCTCAAATGCCATTTAATTTGCATGACTTGTGTAAATCTTTGGTAAGAGTAGTTTAATATTTTCAACTTAACAAAAACAATAATTTATTCTGTTATGAACAAAAAATGCATTCAACTTTATGATTTTTTGCTGCTATATTTGCTTAACATGCAGTAATATAAAAATGGTAAATAAAAAATTAACGAGGTGATGGCTAGCTTAGTTTAACGAACTATTCAATCATAAATATTAGGAACAAATTAAATGAGATATAAGTTTATAAATGAAGTTTTTACAGTTTCAAAAATATTTTAGTAATTTGATATCTTGAATTATTGTTATGTTAAATGAAGTGATAGATAAATATTTGATGACTGAGACATTTCTAGGTAAGTTAAAATACTGAAACATTAATTATCAAATATAAGCTTAAGTTTATATAATTTGGCATATTATTTTTATATGGCATAGAAAAACTAAATATGCTTAAATTTGTTGATAAACAAAAAAATCGAGGAAACATTTTTTAAAAATTATGAAATGGGGCCATGCACAGAGTGTCATGCCTGTAATTCCAGCTCTTTGGTAGGCTGATTTGGGAAGATTACTTGAGGACAGAAGTTTGAGACCAGCCTGGGAAACACAGCAAAACCTCATCGCTATCAAAAAATTTAAAAATTACTCAGATGTGATGATGCATGCCTGTAGTTTCAGTTACTTGGGACGTTGACATGAGAGAATCCCAGATCCCTTGAGCTCAGAAGTTAGAGGTTATAGTGAGCTATGATTGTGCCAATACACTCCAGCCTGAGTAACAGAGCAAAACCTTATCTCTTAAATAATAAATACATATACCGATTATAAAATAGTATTCTTCTACAAATAGTGGTATAAAATGTTTTAAAATTACTTACTTTCTAGGTTTTTCACAGAAACTTAGGGTTACTGAGTTAATATTATAATTAATATATGTAATTGATAGTACTAAATTGTACTAAGTACAATTCTAAATGCAAAATATATTTTTAAAATAACACTTTTTTGGAAAAAAGGTTATAAGAAAAACATAAATATGTGATTTTTATTAAAGAAAAGATGATTTTTTTTTCTGGTTTAAATGTTATTTGAAGTTTGTTTCAAAATGAAGTAAAATGATATGTAGAAAAAACTTTAATTGGATCTAAAAGTTGGGGAAAGAAAAAAATGAAAAAAATTGTAAGATATTACAAATGTTGCATAAAAATCTTCTAATATGTGTTCCAAGCAAATTGAGATTAGATGAATTTGATTTTAAGGTTTTATTAATATTAGCTTTTGTATTTTAAATACATGAATATAAAAGTAAAATTTGTGTTTTCGAACATGAATTTTGTGTAGTATTAATAAGAGATAGTAAAAGATTTGTTTCCCTTCTGAGTAAATTGCAGAAACAATAATAGAGGTGGGCAGAGACGGAGAGACATGTCCTTTTGGTCTCATTCTATCTTCTGAGGATCTTTTAATTGTTTGGGAAATTGAGTCTCTATCAGGTTAATGCCCTTTGCCTTTTGAAATCTTTGAATTATCATTTTAGCTAAATAAATGACATTTTACAGTGACCTGTGATCCTAATTTTAATATTAAGTGTTTCCAATCTTTGATATTTGGCATACTCCCCCAAATCAAATTTTAAATTCTAAAATTAAGATTTTTTTTTACGTGAACTAACTTAAATGTAACAAATAGGAATCCATGGAAGTCCAAGCAAGACATATTAGGATTATTTGGTATGTTAAAATTATGTGGGAAGAATTCATAAATAAGAAATGGTGTTTAATTTAATTTAAGTTATATTTGTATAAATGTTATTAATATGTTTTTTAAAAATTATATGATATTCCTAAATTCTGATATGTCTTCATGTATGTTGTCAGTCATAATTAGGATTATTAAGTTAAATTGTTATATGCCACAGAAATGACCAAATTTTCTTCTCAATTGCATCTTTAAGCATGACTAATCTAAGTCTTTTGTCATACATAAACAATTATTGTTTGATTTTTTTCAAAAAATGGTTTTCAATTCTCTACAGTTCAAAATTTGCCTTTTCTTCAAGGAAATTCATAAAAAGAAAAAGGACATTGGCAAGTACTCTTAAATAAGGATTTCTGATAACTTTGGAGATTATACCTTTCATTGGACTAGATAAAACATTTCCAGGACTCTAATTAAAAAGCAAATACCTTTATAAGGAATGCTAAGCCAACATTAAGCAGAATAAGAATTAAATGCATGGAATTGTTATAGAATTCAGTCATTTTTTATTACTTTTTTGTTTGAAACATTGCTGATTTACTTCTTATTTTATTTTCCAGAATCAAGAAAACAATTCAATAAGAATCCATTTTCCTTGGTAACAGGACACAATTGAAAACACTGGTTATTTAACCAAAGCTTCATCTGAAATGGCATATTTTACGGATATGACGAGACTGCTTTGAGGAATTTAAGTGGACCTTATAAAGTTGATAAAGAGCCCCTTAGAAAGATTGGCCTAGTACCTCATCTACTTGGTTCCCTTAGGAGCCTAGGAACCTCAAGATATTTGGGGACCTCAAGAAGAGAGAAATTCACTCAATTTATGCACATATTACAGGCATAGTCTAATGGTGAATTATTGGCTTGGTTTCCCCGTCTTAAAAGGCTTTTAGAAGTCGAATTTGAGATTCTTTATGAAAACATTCCAGCAAAGTCAACTTAAAAGACCCTATATGACCATTCATTATTCTTGTTTATGCAAATAATCAGGCCAAGTAAAATACTAAAACTTATTTTGCAAGTAAGTTGGTTTTGCTAAGATATATCTTTGGTAGAAATGGGGAACTGGGGAGAGAAAAATTATGTATCAGGGAAAATTATAACAAACCTATTATTACATTCCAGCTCTCATCATTATTTCTGAGTTTGTATTATTTTCCTACAATTTGGACTAAATCCCAAATTATTTTATGGCTACAACAGGTCTATAAAGAAGGACTGGGTTTTAATTTTCTTCATGATGTTTTTAGTTGACTCCCCAGTGAAATAGGTTTTTTGTTCTGACACACGAATTCTCTTTTTAACTATAATCCTTATGTACACTATATTTCTGCTATGTATCTCTCATTGTTTTACTTCTCCCAAGAAAATTAACCCATAATGCTTCCAAAGATTAGAGATGATTCAATAATTAACAACAGCTGTATAAATCAGCAACTTGACTGAGGTTGCATTGTTGCCACCCTGTTCTGCCATCCTAGTTTGTCTTTTGACACTCATAAAATTCTTCAGTGAGATGTATCCTCCTCACTTTCATGGGACATGACTTCCATAGATTTTTTTTTTTTTTTTTTGAGACCGAGTTTCACTCTTGTTGCCCAGGCTAGAGTGCGGTGGCGCCATCTCAGCTCACCGCAACCTTGACCTTCTGGGTTCAAGCCATTCTCCTGCCTCAGCCTCCCGAGTAGCTGGGATTACAGGCATGCACCACCATGCCCGGCTAGTTTTGTATTTTTAGTAGAGACGAGGTTTCTCCATGTTGGTCAGGCTGGTCTCAAACTCTCATCCTCAGGTGATCCACCCACCTCGGCCTCCCAAAGTGCTGGGATTACAGGCGTGAGCCACTGCAGCTGCCAGATTTTTTTTTTTTAATTGAACTTTTATTTTAAGTTCAGGAGTACTTGTGCAGGTTTGTTACATAGGTAAACTTGTATCATGGGGATCTGTTGTACAGATTATTTCATCACCCAGGTATTAAGCCTAGTACTTATGAGTTGTTTTTTTCTGAACTTCTCCCTCCACCCACCCTCCACCCTCTGATAGACCCCACTGAGTGTTGTTCCCCTCTATGTGTCCCTGTGTTCTCATTGATTAGCTCCCACTTATAAGCGAGAACATGTGGTATTTGGTTTTCTATTCCTGTGGTAGGTCGCTTCAGATGATGGTCTTAATCTGCATCCATGTTGCTCCAAAGGATCCAATCTCATTCTTTTTTATGGCTGCATAGTATTTCATGGTGTATATGTACAACATTTCCTTTATCCAGTCTACTATTGATGGGCATTTAGGTTGATATTATTTCTTTGCTATTGTGACTAGTAGTGCAATGAACATATAGGTGCATGTATTTTTATAATAGAATTATTTATATTTTAGGGGCATATATCCAATAATGAGACTGCTGGATCGAATAGTATTACTGTTTTTAGGTCTTTGAGGAATCACCACATTGTCTTCCACAATGGTTGAACTAATTTACACCCCCGCCAACAGTGTATAAGCATTCTTTTTCTCAACAACCCTGCCAGCATCTGTTACTTTTTGACGTTTTAATAATAGCCATTCTGACTGGTATGAGATGGTATCTCATCGAGGTTTTGATTTGCATTTCTCTAGTTATCACTGATGTTGAGCTTTCTTTTATATGATTTTTGGCCGCATTTATGTCCTCTTTTGAAAAGTGTTCATGTCCTTTGCCCACTTTTTAACGGGGTTGTTTGTTTTTTTCTTGTAAATATGTTTAAGTTCTTTACAGATGCTGGATATTAAACCTCTTTCGGATGCATAATTTGCAAACATTTTCTTCTATTTGGTATGTTATCTGTTCATTCTGTTGATAGTTTCTTTTGCTGTGAAGTAGCTCTTTAGTTTTATTGGATCCCATTTGTCAAGTTTTGCCCTTCTTGCAATTGCTTTTTATGTCTTTGTCATGAAATCTTTGTCCATTCCTATGTCAAGAATGGTATTGCCTAGGTAGTCTTCCAGAGTTTTTATATTTTTGCATTTTACATTTAAGTTTTTAATCCGTTTTAGTTAATTTTTGTATATTGTGTAAAGAAGGGGTCCAGTTTCAATCTTCTGCATATGGCTAGCCAGTTATCTCAGCACCATTTATTGAATAGGGAATCCTTTCCACATTGTTTGGTTTTGTCATGTTTGTCAAAGGTCAAATAGTTGTAGGTGCATGGCGTTATTTCTAGGTGCTCTATTTTGTTCCATTTTTCTATGTGTGTGTTTTTGTACCAGTACCATGGAAGCTGTTTTGGTGACTGTAGCCCTGTAGGATAGTTTGAAGTCAGGTAACATGATGCCTTCAGCTTTATTCTTTGTGCTTAGGATTGCCTTGGCTATTCATGCTCTTTTTGGTTTCCAGAGGAATTTTAAAATACTATTTTTTTTCTAATTTTGTGAAGAATGTCAATGGTAGTATAATAGGAATAGAATTGAATCTTTAAATTTTGGGGGGCAGTATGGTCCTTTTAACCATGAGCATCTAATCTTTTTCCATTTGTTTGTGTCATCCCCAAATCAAGAATGCAATCCCATTCACAACTATCAGAGAAAAATATAACACCTAGGAATACAGCTAACCAGGGAGGTGAATGATCTCTACAAAAAGAACTACAAAACACTGCTCAAAGAAAGCGACATGGGATTTTGTCATAAATACACTACCTAAATACCTGATTCTTAGGCAATGTTTTCTCCAAAAGATTTTGAAAAAAAGTGGGATATGTAAAAGAAAATGAAATTTCAGGTTCTTTTAAATGTATTATATAAAGGGCTTATAAATCCCTAAAGTCTGAGTTACAGCATTTTTCTAATTCTGCTTCTTAAATTACAAATTAACTCCCTTTCTCATTGTTCTTGTTCTGTACATTACTAGGAGACCAAAGAGCAGTCCTCCACCTTACAATCACTCATCTTTGTTACAGATTAACTGCCTATTTTATTTTCCTTTACCTAACTCAGACCAGATGGCATCCAAGGCCTATGATTGTTACATCACTTCTTTAGTGTGAAATGTTAAATATACCTTTCCAAAAAAAAAAGCACCTCAATTATTCAGATTATTCTCATGAAGCATTAAGCCTTATATAGAAAGATGTTAGAATTCTGTTAAACTTCCATAAACTTTGTTTACATGTCATCCCAAACTTTTACACTTCAAAGCACTGACTTCCATTTTTTGAAATCTGTGCTTTGCTCATCCTCAAACTTTGTACTTGAATAAATTCCAATTAAAATAGATTCTGACCTTTTGATTATTTTAGGTTCACATTGAATGTGTATTTCCATTCTTAAATCTTGGAATGATAATGTGTCAGACTGTCTGTAGTTTTCAGGCCACAGGTTACTAATCACTCTTCCATATGTTTCCTTTAGTATTTACAACTATCTTACTGTGCACTGTATTTTAATCTATAAGCTACCTAAATATATCTTCTGGCTAATGAGGGTAAACATTTCAAAATATGTAAGACAAGGAATAGAGAAATGAAGAGACATATTGAAGAGAAATGGAGTTTATTTGCTTTTTCACTGACATCTTTTTCTAAGGAATACAGATTTATGTACTTTGGCAATGATCACTCTTGACACTAAACATACTTATTTACTCTTTGAGCTGTTTCAGCAATGAAAAGATATGAGGACAGTGTTTGAGAAAGAAAGGTTCAGGTGTATATGTCCTTTATATTAGATGATATTTTTGAAAATGGCTCTTTTGGTGTTATTCATTATTGTTCAGTAGGAATATAAACTTTTTTTTACAATTATACATAGTTTGACTTTTAAAATAAAAGTATGAATTTAATTTTGTGATAAAAACATAAGAAAACAAAAATGTAATTAATATGCTATAAGACAAATATATTACATTAATTATAAGAGAACAACATGCCGAAGGAAATGAGCAAAGAATAAGGACAGACAGATTCTCTGTGTATGTGTGTGAGTGTGTATATATATACACACAAAAAAATTCACTAGAAATTTCTTAAGCTAAAATTAATAAATATCCTAGAAAGTAGAACCAAAGACTAAGAAATGGGAATTAGAGAAAATAAACAAAAGACCAACGAGGTTAACTCAGGAGGTCTAACATTTGATTACTAAAAATTTATTCTAAAGACGAAATGAAAAAAATAGAGAGGACAACATTATCAAAGAAATAATATAAAAATATTCTTTTCAGAACAGAAAAGCGGAAGCATCTAGATAAATAATGAACATTGAGAACCTAACAAAATTAACAGAAAATTTCTCAGCAAACAAACAACATGATCATTAACAACCACATACACACAAAAAAATAGAACATTTTGTATACTAAGGAATAAAAAGCAGAATAACATAGGATTTCTCAAAGGCTGAATTAAATAGTAGAAATCATTAAAGAAATACCTTCATATTGTAGTACCTAAAATTTAAAATATCCAGTCCAACTGATGCTCATGTATAATGGTAAAATATAGATATTTTAAGATAGGTGAAGATTCACAAATTTTGCCTTCTATAGAAGCTTTTCTTAGAAGCTACTAAAGAAGCTGATCCAGCAACGTGGGGGAATAAATCAAGAAAGAGAAAGCGATGGAGTTTAGGAATGAGTTAAGTAGTGAAACATTAGAAGGTGACATCCCTGTAACAGGCCTAGAAATCAAATAGCTTAGATTGGAGAAAAAGGATAAAGGACTACAATAATGAGATGTTGAGAATATAAAGGGATTTAAAAGAACGTTTGACATAATAAAACTCTATCAAAATAACTCACATGTATATCATAGTTTGATGGAGCATTTAAAAATATAAATGTACATTTGAAGAATTATGTAAGTGACCAAAAAAAAGCCATTATTAACTTCAGGATAAAGAAAGCTTGCATGAAAGAGAAAACTCAATCAGAATTTCAGTAGGCTCTGCAGTGAGCAATATTTACACAAATATAAAATCGTAATACTGAGTATTTTATTAAAACTTTTGCTATACCTGTATTTAGAGGATTAGATATAAAAGTAAGCCATATTATAAAATAGTGAAATCCTATCCATCAAAAAAGGAAGACAACTGGCTGGGCGCGGTGGCTCATGCCTGTAATCCCAGCACTTTGGGAGGCCGAGGCGGGCGGATCACAAGGTCAGGAGAACAAGACCATCCTGGCTAACACGGTGAAACCCAGTCTCTACAAAAAATACAAAAACTTAGCTGGGTGTTGTGGTGGGTGACTGTGGTCCCCGCTACTTGGGAGGCTGAGGCAGGAGAATGGCGTGAACCCAGGAGGTGGAGCTTGCAGTGAGCCGAGATCACGCCACTGCACTCCAGCCTGGGCGACAGAGTGAGACTCCATCTCAAAAAAAAAAAAAAAGAAGAAGAAAGGAAGACAACTGATAATGGCTAAAACTTATATATTAGGAAACATCCATATATACGTGTAAGTGAATTAAAAACAGCTAAATAATGAAAGCATTTGTCTCTGTGGCTACATGAAACTTCTGTAACTTTGTAACTAGGATAGCAATTTGTTTCTTTGTTTTTTAGATAAATGTACAGTCACGTACATAAGAAATAATACAGAAAAGTCTAGTGTGCCCTTTATACAGTTGTACCAATGGTAACTTCCTTTAAAACTACAATACATACTAGTTAGAATGGTGGTCATCAAAAAGTCTGGAAATAACAGATGCTGGTGAGGAATGGAGAAATAGGAATGCTTTTACACTGCTGGTGGGAGTGTAAATTAGTTCAACCATTGCAGAAGACAATGCGGCAATTCCTCAAGGATCTAGAACCAGAAATACCACTTGACCCAGCAATCCCATTCCTGGGTATATACCCAAAGGATTATAAATCATCCTACTATAAAGACACATTCACACATATGTTTATTGCAGCACTATTTACAATAGCAAAGACTTGGAACCAACACAAATGCCCATCAGTGATAGACTAGATTGTTGTGGGAAATCAGGGACCCCAAATGGAGTGACCGGCTGAAGCCATGGCGGAAGAACATAAATTGTGAAGATTTCATGGACATTTATTAGATCCCCAAATTAATACTTTTGTAATTTCTTATGCCTGTCTTTACTGCAATCTCTGAACATAAATTGTGAAGATTTCATGGACACTTATCACTTCCCCAATCAATAACCTTGTGATTTCCCATGCCTGTCTTTACTTTAATCTCTTAATCCCGTCATTTTCGTAAGCTGAGGAGGATGTTTGTTGCCTCGGGACCCTGTGATGATTGTGTTAACTGCACAAATTGTAGAGCATGTGTGTTTGAACAATATGAAATCTGGGCACCTTGAAAAAAGGGCAGGATAACAGCAATGTTCAGGGAACAAGAGAGATAACCTTAAACTCTGACCGCCGGTGAGCCGGGTGGAACAGAGCCATATTTCTGTTCTTTCAAAAGCAAATGGGAGAAATATCACTGAATTTTTCTCAGCAAGGAACATCCCTGAGAAAGAGAATGTGCCCCTGAGGGTAGGCCTCTAAAATGGCCCCCTTGGGTGTGGCCGTCTTCTATGGTCGAAACTGTAGGGATGAAATAAGCCCCAGTCTCCCATAGCACTCCCAGGCTTATTAGGACAAGGAAATTCCCGCCTAATAAATTTTGGTCAGACTGGTTGCTCTCAAACCGTGTCTCCTGATAAGATGTTATCAATGACGGTGGTGCCGAAAATTTCATTAGCAATTTTAATTTTGCCCCAGTCCTGTGGTCCTGTGATCTCACCCTGCCTCCATTTGCCTTGTGATATTCTACTACCTTGTGAAGCACGTGATCTCTGTGACCCACACCCTATTCGTACACTCCCTCCCCTTTTGAAAATCCCTAATAAAAACTTGCTGGTTTTGCGGCTTGTGGGGCATCACGGAACCTACCGACATGTGATGTCTCCCCCTGATGCCCAGCTTTAAAATTTCTCTCTTTTGTACTCTGTCCCTTTATTTCTCAACCCGGCCGACACTTAGGGAAAATAGAAAAGAACCTACGTGACTATCGGGGGCAGGTTCCCAAATACTAGATAAAGAAAATGTGGCACATATAAACCATAGAATACTATGCAGCCATAAAAAGGAATGAGTTCATGTCCTTGGCAGGGACATGGATGAAACTAGAAACCATCATCCTTGGCAAACTAACACAGGAACAGAAAACCAAACACCGCATGTTCTAACTCATAAGTGGGAGCTGAACAATGAGAACACATGGACACAGGGAGGGGATCATCACATAATGGGGCCTGTCGTGTGGTGGTGGGAAAGGGGAGGGAGAGCATTAGGACAAATACCTAATGCATACAGAGCTTAAAACCCAGATGACAGGTTGATAGGTGCAGCAAAGGCACATATGTATCTATGTAACAAACCAGCACGTTCTGCACATGTATCCCAGAACTTAAAGTAAAATTAAAAAAAAAAAACTACAATATAACATTTTATTGATATTGATATAGTTGAGATGCAAACAGTTTAATCACCATGAAGATCTCCCCTGTTTCTGGTTTATTTCTCCTTCACCTCTTTATCCCCCACCCCAACCTGAGTGCCAGGTAACTACTAATATGCTTTCTATTTCTAAGATTTTCTCACTTCAAGAATATTATATATACAAAATCATATAGTGTATAACCTTTGAGTATTTGCATTATTTACTCAGAATAATTGTCTGGAGATCCATTCAAGTTATTGCGTGTATTAATCATTCATTTTATTTTTTCTTGCTGAGTAGTATTTCCTGGTATATATGTAGCATAGTTTATTTAACTATTCACTCATTGGAGAACATCTGGGTTGTTTCCAGATTTTGGCTATTATGAATAAAGCTGCCATGAATATAAGTGTGAATATAAGTTTTTATTTATCTGGGAAAAATGGCTAAATTATAATATCTGGGTCATTTGGTAATTGCATATTTATTTTTATAAGAAACTGCCAACTTTTTTTTTTATTTATATGCATTACTTTGGTATATAAAAAAACATTTAAAAGGGCAAAAAGCCTCAACACAGTTATTTTTTTCTTTTTAATTTTTTTTTTTATTATACTTCATGTTCTGAGATACATGTGCAGAACGTGCAAGTTTGTTACATAGGTATACACGTGCCATGTTGGTTTGCTGCACCCAACAACCTGTCATCTACATTAGGTATTTCTCCTAATGCTATCCCTCCCCTATCCCCCTAACCCCTGACAATCCCCCCGTGTGTGATGTTCTGCTCCCTGTGTCCATGTGTTCTCATTGTTCAACTCCCACTTATGAGTGAGAACATGTGGTGTTTGGTTTTCTGTTCTTGTGTTAGTTTGCTGAGAATGAAGGTTTCCAGCTTCATCCATGTCCCTGCAAAGGACATGATCTCATCCTTTTTTATGGCAGCATAGTATTCCATGGTGTATATGTGCCACATTTTCTTTATCTAGTCTATCACTGATGGGCATTTGGGTTGGTTCCAAGTCTTTGCTATTGTGAACAGTGCTGCAATAAATATTCGTGTGCATGTGTCTTTATAGTAGAATGATCAAATGACAAAATTCAATTTTGTCATAGCTCTGAGGTAATGCCATCCTTGTCATACATTCTTTCGAATATTTTTGCAAGAGCAGAAAGCAGTATTGACTATAAGATGAAGTGACCCGGTGCGGTGGCTCACGCCTGTAATCCCAGCACTTTGGGAGGTTCAGGTGGGCAGATCACCTGAGGTCAGGAGTTTTAGACCAGCATGGCCAACATTTCAAAACCCCATCTATACTAAAAATACAAAAATTAGCCGGGTATGGTGGAAGGTGGACATCTGTAATCCTAGCTACATGGGAGTCTGAGGCAGGGGGAATTGCTTGAACGGGAGGCGGAGGTTGCTGTGAGCCGAGGTTGTGCCACTGCACTCCAGCCTGGGCAACAGTGCAAGACTCCATCTCAAAAAAACAAAAAAGAATATAAGATGAAGTGAGGTTTAACTATGATTTTGAAATTTACTCCATTTCTTCTTTGAGCAATTAACCAACTTCTCTGCCTCCCTTCTTTATAACATAGCTCTTCAAAAACGTCTTTATGTAGTAGCTCCAATATTTTCCAAATATATTTTGAATTCAATCCATTTATGGATTCATGTTAACCACTTTAGTACATTTACTCTTTTCAAGGTCATGATTTCTGCATTGCTAAGTTCATTGGTCAATCATCATTCCTCAATCTATATATTCTATTTATCTTAACATAGCTTATTTAAAATAAAATGGATGGCATGAGGTTTTCTTGCCTTCTGTTTAGCTCTAAAGCATGAACTTTTAGAAGGAAAATTCCATATGGTAAATAACTGATCATTAATGCTTTTCATATAAAGAACTGACAACCACAGATAAAAACTTATCTTGAAATGCAATCAACCACCAATAAAATTTAGACATGAAAAAATACAGTTTTCATGCCTTGGTACCAATTTATCTCTGAGCTATGGGAGTCTGCACAATAGTATATATTTGTGCCAGATTCAATATACTTGTATGCAGTTTGATCCTGGAGCTGGGATTTGGTTTCTACATGGTATGAGGATCTGTGTTGGATTGATAAAGACTTTTTATTTTTTCTGTGATATTTTCCTTTTCTTTAACAAATTGAGCAAAACAGTGTCACAGACAGGCTTTTGACAGTGCCCTTCTAAAAGTGAGTGCTTTTACCTGAGATTATGATTAAATTCACTCCGTGTCCTTTCTCTCCTCCCATCCCCTCCCCATTCTGACAAGTGACAGTTGACAGTACCTTTCAAAATTCAGTCAGCTTGCTGAATTGCCTAATGTGAAAAAACAGAGGATTAATTACCCCATGAGCACACATCCAATATACAGAAAATGGAAAGTATTGTCAGAAAAAAATGGATACCTTTGTGAAATAAAGTTAATATTGAAAAATAGCAAATAGACAATTTTATAAGGGCTATGAACGAAGATACCTCCTTGAAACGCAGCTTAATAAATGTTGCTTTAAGTTACTACAAACATTTTTCAAGGAAAGTTATGTATCAAAACTGTAATCATTAAAATAAACCCAAATGCTCATCTTTATTGATTATATGCTCATCAGGAACAAAAAGATTATTAAAATCAGAAGCACAATAAAACAATCTAACTTCTATATGCTTTGAAATTCTTGTGAAAAGTACACATTTAAAAAATAAATCTCAATTATTGCTATCATCATTATGACATGACCACTTTGAAAACAGTGAGCATTTGCTTGGGTACTGCAATGTGATAGAAACAAATTCAAAATATTGTTTTATTAGGTGATTGATATTATATCTTGCTGTTTTTTGTTTCACTTTCTTTTCACATAATATAGCCAAGTTTGCTTTTGTTGTTGTTGTTGGTGGTGGTGGTTTTTTTGTTTGTTTGTTTGTTTGTTTTTGAGACAGGGTCTCAACTCACTCTGTTGCCCAGGTGGAAGTGCAGTGGTGCAATCATGGCTCACTGCAGCCTTAACCTCCTAGACACAAATGATCCTCCCACCTCAGCCTCCTGAGTAGCTGAGTAGGTGGAACTACAGTCAACTTTCAACTAGCCCATGGTGATAGGGAGAGCAAGTTATCTAAAATTGTGTTAAAATAATTTTTTAAAAGGTCTTTAATACATGATTTTTCTGACTCATGGCTTTGAAAACAAATGAACATTGTTGGACAAAAATTCTGATTGTCTGAAATATGTTACTCCAAATTATTTTTTAAAAATAGACTTTTAGAGTTGTTTTTGATTAATTTTAAAATTGAAAAGAAGGTATAGAAGTTTCCCATATAACCCTTCTCCCAACATACTGACCTACTATTACTCGACTAATAACATCCCACACCAGAGTGGTACATTCATTAAAATCTACGAACCTATACTGACACATATTTATCACGCAATGTCCATATTTTACATGAGGTTCCATTTGTGGTGTTGTACATTCTATGGATTTTGACAAATATATAAGACATGTATTCATCATTATAATATCATAGAGAGTAGTTTCATTGCCCTAAAGAATACATTTGTACTTTGCTTATTCATCTGTCTTTCTCTCCTACCCCCTGGCAACCACAAATCCTTTTATTATATTCATAGTTTTGTCTGTTCCAGAATACCATGTAGTTGGAATTTAGAGTATACAGCCTTTTCAAGTTTGATTTTTCATTTAGTAATAAGCATTTAATGTTTCTCTATTTTTTTTTTGGTGTGATAGCTTTTTTTCTTTTCTTAGCCCTGAATAATAGTTCATTTTCTGGATATACCAATTTGTTCATCCATTTATCCAAACATTTACTGAAGGACTTCTGGGTTACTTCTGAGTTTTTGCAATTTGTTTTGTATTGTTTTGTTTTTCCCAACTTTATTAGAGTATAAATGAAAAATTAAAATCGTATAAATTTGTGGTATACAATGTGATGTTCTGATTTATGTACACATTGGAAAATTAATAAATCAAACTAATTAACATATTCATCACATCATATACCTATGTTTTTGTGGTGAGAAAATTTAAAATCTACTCTTAGTTTGGAGTTATGGCATAGAAATGCTGCTGATTTTTACATGCTGATTTTCTATCTTGTAACTTTACTAAATAGTTTATTAGTTCTAACAATTTGGTGATGTCATTAGGGTTTTCTATATACAAGATCATGTCATCTACTCACAGAACATTTTACTTCTTCCTTTCCAATTTGGATGCCTTTTATTCCTCTTCTTGCCTAATTGCTCTGGCTAGAAATTGTAGTACTTTTTAAAATAGAAATGGTATGACTGAGCGTCCTTGTCTTGTTCCTGGCCTTAGAGGAAAAGCTTACAGCTTTTCTTTGTTGAGAATAATGATAACTGTGGGTTTGTCAGATATGACCTTTATTCTGTTGAGGTACATTTCTATACCTAATTTGTTGAGAGTTTTTATCATGTAAGGATGTTGAATTTTTATCAATGCAACTTTTACATTTATTGAGATGATCAAATGATTTTATCCTTTATTGTGTTAATGTGGTGTATCACAATTATTGATATGCATATGTTAAGCCAAGCTTGCATACCAGGGATAAACCCACTTAATCATGGTGTATTATCCTTTTAATGTTAGATTTGGCTATCTAGTATTTTGTTGAGGACTTTTGCATCTATGTCTATCAGGGATATTGGTCTGTCATTATCTTTTCCTTGTAGAGTCTTTACCTGGTTTTGGTATCAGGGTAATGCTGGCCTTGTAAAGTGAATTTGCAAATGTTCCATTCTCTTCAATTTTTTGTAAGAATTTGAAAACTATTGACATTAATCTTCCCTTAAATGTTTGGTAGAATTTACCAGTGAAGCCACATGGTCCTGGGCTTTTCTTTGTTGGGAAGTTTTTGATTCCCAATTCAACACTCTTATTCATTACTTGTCTGTTCAGATTTCCTTATGATATAATCTTGATTGATTGTAAGTTTCTAGAAATTTATCCATTTCTTCTAAGTTATTCAATTTATTTCTGTGTAATTGTTCATAGTAGTCTGCTGCGATTCTTTGTATTTTTGTTGTATCAGACATAATGTCTCCTCATTTATTTATAGTTTTATTTATTTGAGTCTTCTCCATTTTTTTCTTAGTCTAGGTAAAGTATGCCAATTTTTATTTTCCAAAAAATTAACCCTTAGTTTTTTCTATATGGGACCAGCCTGGTACTTTAGCCTGCAGGTTTGAAACTGGTGCCTGGGGTGAATGTGGAGCTTGAGTCTGCTGGGTTGTACCTGGACACTGGGTCCACAGGAGCTGGCCTGACACTGGATTGGGTCAGGAGGCTTGGTCTACAGGTGGCAAGCTGGACACAGGCTATGAGGGAAAGTCTAACACTAGGGTGTGCCTGATGTCTGAGGCTACAGGTGCCAGCCTGATGGGGTGGACCTGAGTCCCAGTGAGGGTCAGTCTGGGACCTGCGACCAACATGTTGCAAAGTGGCCCTGAAGACTTGGGTTCCATCTGCTGAGCTGGTGGTGGAACCAGCCTGGAGTCTGAACCTGAAAAGGTTAGCTTAGAGCCTAGGGCTGTGAGAGTCAGCTTGGTACCAGGTTTCACAGGGGTGGGCTTTGTGTTAGAGTCCACAAAAAAGTCAAGTTCTCACTTTACTCTCCTTCCCCCATGTGAAGGATATCTCCCTCTACACTTTGCTGCCTGGGCTTGGAGAAGAAGTGATGTGGGTAATATGAAACTGCCCTTGCAACTACCTTCAGTGTATCTTTTCTTATTTCTGTGGTACATCTGAGTACTATAATCTCTCACTTGGATATATTAGATCTTGTGAAGGTATTTTGTGCACGGTTAGTTGATTAAATTGATGTTTCTGTGACAAGATGAGCACTGGAAAATCCTATTTCACCATCTGGCTGATGTTACTTCAGGAGATAATTTCAGTTTTGACAATTATGAATAAAGCTGCTATAAAGACTCATGTGGAGATTTTGTATTTTTACTTTTGTGTGTGTGTGTGTGTGTGTGTGTGTGTGTGTGTACAGGTTTTCAACTCATTTGGCTTAATACCAAAGATACTGGATCATATGGTAAGAGTATGCGCTTAGTTTTGTAAGATACTGCCAAACTGACTTCCAAAGTGGCTGACCATTTTGCATTCCCACTAGCAATGAATGAAAACTCCTGTTGCTTGACATTCTCACCAGCATCTAGTGGTATCAGTATTGCAGATTTTGGCCTTTCTAATAGGTGTGTAGTGGTATGTCATTGCTCGTTAGATTTGCATTTCCCTAATTACATATGGCAGAGCATTTTTTCATGTGCTTATTTGCCATCTGTATATCTTTTTTATTGTTGTTTAGGTGTCTATTCATGGATTTGGCATCTTTCTACATTTGGTTGTTCATTTTCCTGTTGTTGAGTCTGAAGATTTTCTTTGTATATTTGAATAACAGTAATTTATTGGAAATATATTGTACAAATACTTTCTTCCATTCTTTGGCTTGTCTTTTCATCCTTTTCCTTGTGTTTTGCACAGAGTGGAAGTTTAAATTTTAATTTGGTTAAGCTTACCATTTTTTTCTTCATGGATTGTGCCTCTGTCATTATGCCCAAAAAGTCATTGCCATACCCATGTTTTCTTCTATATTATCCTTTAAATGTTATATACTTTTTCATTTTACTTTTAGGTTTATGTTCCATTTTGAGCTAATTTTTGTGAACAGGGAGGTCTATATCTAAATTTACTTTTTTTTGAATAGTGATGTCCAGTTGCTTTCCTAGCATTTACTGAGGAGACTATCTTTGCTCTAGAGTATTGCCTTTGCTCTTTCACCAAATATTGATTGACTATAATTATGTGGGTCTATTTCTGGTTCTCTATTGCATTCCATTGATCAATTTTTCTATTATTTTGCCAATACCCCACTGTCTTAATTGCAGAAACTTCATAGTAAATGTTGAAGTTTGATAGCGTTCGTCCTCAGACTTTGTTCGTTTCAATATTGTGTTGACATTTCTGGGACTTTTAACTTTCCCTATAAACTTTAGAATGAGTTTTTGAAGATCCACAAAATAACATTCTGCAATTTTGATAAGGATTGCTTTCATTCTGTAGATCAAGTTGAAAAGAGCTGACATCTTGACAATATTGAGTTTTTCCATCCATGAACATGTAATATCTCTCCATTAATTTTGTTCGTTCTTTTATTTCTTTCATCAGACTTTTTATGCACTTTTTTTTTTTTTTGACAGACCATGTATATGTTTTGTTAGATTTATACCTGACCATTTCATTTGGGAGGATGCTAGTATAAATGTTATTGTGTTTTAAAGTTCAGATTCCATTTGTTCATTGCTTTAACATAGAAAAGTAGTTGACTTTTGTGTGCTATATTGTCTCCCACTGTTAGAGTAGGAAGACAGCCAGACATAAGCAGAAGAATTAAGTATTAGTTTCAGGAGGTTTTTGTTAATTCATAGCATCTGTAAAAAAACACACTTCTTTCTTTTCCTTCAGTATTATGTGTATTTCTTAATTTTAGTATGCCTTTTATATACTTTTCATGTCTCATTTAATTATCTATGACTTTCGGTATGATGATGAAAAGAAGTGGTGACAGGAGACATTTTAGACTCATTTTTTTATCTTAAAGGGAAGACTCCTTCTTTATCACATATACAATGTTAGTTGTAGGGATTCATTTAGGTGTTATCATGTAGAAGAGGTTCCCGTCTATTCTTAGTTTGCTGAGAGTTTTTATCATACATGCATTTAGAATTGTCAAATGCTTTATCTGTATATATTATTATAATCATGGTTTTTTTAGTGTGTTGATGTAATGGATTACATTAATTAATTGTTGAATGTTGAACCAGCTTTCCATACGTAAAATAAACCTTGTTTCATCATAGTGTATATTTTTTATATATTCTTAGATTCAATATTTTAATATTTTCTTGAGAATTTTTGCACATAAGATTATAAAAGGTATTGGTCTGTAGCTTTCTTGTAATGCCTTTTACTTGTTTTGGTAGGAGGATAATGTTCACTTCACAGAGTAATTAGAATTTGGACTCTACACTTCTATTTTCTGGAAGAGATTGCAGAAAATTGTTTATAGTGCTGTTCTTAAATGTTTGGTAGAATTCATCAGTGAACATCTTTGGGACTGGTGCTTTTTGTTTTGGAGGATTAATAGCTATTGATTTAATTTCTTTAATATACATGGGCCTATTCAAATTGTCTATTTCCCCCTCAGGTGAGATTTGGAAGATTGTGTCTTTCAATGAATTTGTCAATTTTATCTAGGTTATCAAATTTGTGGATATAGAGTTGCTCATACTATTTTTATTATTTTAATATTCCATGGTATCTGTAGTGATGTCCTCTATTTTATTTTTGATGTTAATAACGTGTGTCTTCTTTTTTGTTAGTTATCCTGTCTAGAGGCTTATCCAATTTTTTTTTAAAAATCAAGTTATTGGTTTTATTAGAAAATTAGTTATTAGTTTTGTTTATTTTCTCTTTTGATTTCCCATTTTAAATTTTATCGATATCTCTTCTAATTTTTAATGTTTCATTTATTTTGCTTACTTTGGATTTAATTTGCTCTTATTGTTCTAGTTTCCTAAGGTGGAAGCTTAGATGATTGATTTTAGATATTTTAAGTTTTCAAACATATGGATTCAGTGTTATACATTTCTCTCTACTCCCTGCTTTTCTGTAACCTGCAAATATTGATAGCATGTATTTTTATTTTTATTTAGTTGAAAATACTTTTAAATCCCTCTTGAGAGTTCTTCTTTCACCCATGTGTTATTTAGAAGAGTGTTATTTAGTATCTAGCTAGTTTGGAATTTCCTTGCTATCTGTTTTCTGTTTTCTATTAATTTCTCATTTAATTCCGTTATTTTCTGAGAGCAGATATTGTCAGATTTCCTTTTTTTTTTCTTTCTTTCTTCTTTTTTCTTTCTTTCTTTTCTTTTTTCTTTTTTTTTTTTTTTTTTTTTTTTTTTTTTTGAGACAGAGTCTTGCTCTGTCACCCAGGCTGGAGTACAATGGCATAATCTTGGCTCACTGCAACCTCCCCTTCCGGAGTTCAAGCGATTTTCCTGCCTCAGCCTCCCGAGTAGCTGGGATTACAGGCATGTTCCACCATGCCTGGCTAATTTTTGTATCTTTTTTAGTAGAGACGGGGCTTCACCATGTTGTCCAGGCTGGTCTCGAACTCCTGACCTCGTGATCTGCCTGCCTCGGCCTCCCAAAGTGCTAGGATTACAGGCGTGAGCCACCGCACCCGGCTAAGATTTCTATTGTTCTTAATTTTTAAGAGGTGTTTTATGGCCTAAAACGTGGTGAATGTACCATGAGAACTTGAGAAGAATATGTAAGACCAGGCATGGCTGTAATCCCAGCACTTGGGAGGCCGAGGTGAGAGGATTCTTTGAGCTCAGGAGTTCAAGGCCAGCCTGGGCAATATAATGAATCCTTGTCTCCATAAAAAATACAAAAATTAGCCAGGAATGGTGGCATGCACCTGTAATCCCAGCTACTCAGCAGGCTGAGGTGGGAGGATTGCTTGACTCCAGGAGACTGCAGTGATCTGTGATAATACCATTATACTCTAGCCTGGGTAAGAGTGAGACTCTATCTCAAAAAAAATAAAAAATAAAAAATAAATAAATAAAAAGAGAAGAATATGTATTCTTTTGTTGTTGGATATAGTCAATAGATGTCAATTACACCTAGTTGACTGATGGTACTACTCAGTTCAATTATGTCCTTACTGTTTTTCTACACACTTGATCTGCCTTTTTCTAATATAAGGATATTCAAGTATCCAGCTATGATTGTGGTTTCTTCTATATCTCCTTGGAGTTCTATCAGGTTTTGCCTCATGTATTATGACACTATGGGGTTAGGTATCTGATCATCATTGTTTCGAATATTTCTTCTGTTCATTTTTCTTTTCCTTTTCCTTCTGCAATTCACAGTACATCAATGTTACATCTTTTGTATAATTTTCCACAGTTTATTCTGTTTGTATTTTTCTTTTTGATCTTTGCTTTACAGTTTTTGGCATTTCTCTTGGCATATCCTAAAGCTCAAAGATTGGCATATCCTCACCCAAGTTGTCTATTAATGAGCCCATAGAAGGCATTATCTCTTTCTGCTCCAGTGCTTTTGATCTCTCACTTTTTAAAATTTTTCTTAGAATTTTCATCTTTCTGTTTACGTTTTCCATCTGTTCTTACATGCTAATTTATCCATTAAATCCTTTATCATGTTAATCAAAGTGTTTAATTTCCCATTCTGATCATTTCAGTATCTGATTCTGGTTCTGATGTTGGCTTTGTCTCTTCAAACTGTGTTTTCTACCCTCTAGTACGTCTTGGATTTTTTTTTTTTCTTATGAGCCACACATAATTTACCATGTAGAGAAAACTGCAGCAAGTAGGCCGTTGGTAACGTGATGGTAAGGTATGAGGCAAAAGGAAGCACTGTGTAGCCCATGCCTCTTGACTATAAACTTCACAAGTGTTTATTAGTTCCCCAACCTTTACTGGGACAGGATAGCTGGGGCAGACTGAAGTTGGATATTTTCCTTTCCCTAAATTGGCTTGCTTCTGAAAAAAAAATTAAAAATAAATGAATAAATAAATAACTTGGGCTTTGCTAAAATTGTTTCTTTTGAGAGCAGGCCGGGTTAAGGAGAACAGACTATTCTGGCATATTTTCAAATGATTACTTTATCCCAATACCTGCTAGAAGCATAAGGGGATTATTCTCTATTATTCCCTGTGACAACATGGTTGAAATCCTGAGGAAAAAACTCTCTAAAGTCTCAACCCTGCCCCCCATGACTAGGTCCCTGTGAAAATTTTAACTCTCAGGCTTGTCCACACTAAGCCTTCACCAATTCTTCAATTATAGTTTAGCTTTTCCTACCCTAGCATTGGTTCTTGCAGAGGTTTCTGCTGTTTGGTTTTTGCTCTGATAAATTGTAATTTTCTATAAATCATTTGTCTATCCCTCCAATTTTTTAGGCAGCATGTTGACCTGTGACCTCACTTCTTTGACAGAGACAAAAAGAGTTGCTGCTATTTCAGTTTGTTTATCTTTTTACTTGTTAGGTCAGAGTGACAACTTCTAAGCTCCTTCTAATCAAAGTCTAAGAATATAGCATTTTGTAAGTTTCAAGTGTTTTATGTTCAGGCTTCTGTGATTTAGAAAAGCTATGAAGTAAAGTTTAATATCTTAATATATAGAAGACTAATGAGCAGAGTTTTAGCTGAAAATATGAAGAAGCATATATTAGGGTATTCCAAGGTACTCTGAAAATATTAAGATAAGCTTCAGATAAGACAACTCTAGTCCAAAATAAATAGCGATTTGTAATAGAAAGGATGAGAACTCATTTAAATAAGCAAGTAAGCAAACAGACACAGAATGTGAGCAAATGGCTAATTATACTTCCATGCCAAGCATGATTTAGGGAGCTAAATTTCCCTTAGGCAAATTGTTATCTGCTGATTCTCTCATTGCTAGACTCATCTGGCATCCAGAGACTACAAATGTTTTTCAAAGTTACTTGATACCAGAAAAAAAAAAGTTTTGGAAAGTGTGAAATTATTTTTAATTAGAGTCATCTAAAACTATTCACTTGAAATGTAAATAGTGTCTAACGCCAGATCAACACAGTAGAAACCTTTGGCTGATCTAAGAGTTAAAGCCTTGAAATTATCTTAATCTGCATTTCACCTTTATTTCACACTAAATATTTATTGTTTAAAAAATACCAGAAAATAATATAAAACATATTCTTACAGATTTGTATTTATGTATTCTATATTTATCCAAATTCTCTTTTTATGTGATCCTAAAAGAATTACATACTGTTAACACATCTGCAAAACAGTCTGCTATTTTTTTTTTTTTTTTTTGGGCTGGAGTCTCGCTCTGTCACTGAAGCTGGAGTGCAATGGAACGTCTCGGCTAACTGCAGCCTCCTCCTCCCAGGTTCAAGCAATTCTCCCTGCCTCAGTCTCTTGAGTAGCTGGGATTACAGGTGCCTGCCACCACGCCTGTCTAATTTTTGTATGTTTAGTAGAGACGGGGTTTCGCCATGTTGTCCAGGCTGGTCTCGAACTCCTCACCTCAGGTGATCCGCCCGCCTCGGCCTCCCAAAGTGTTGGGATTACAGGCGTGAGCCACCGCGCCAGGCCAACAGTCTGCTTTTTAACTATGTTTACAAAACCTAAGGTTTTTTCTTTCTTCTTTAGACATTAAAATGCAGCAGTTATTCACTTGTGTAATTTGTTTGATTTGGAATTCCAATAAAGACAAATTCACAAGAAGAAGTTAAAGAATGAATGGAGACAAAATTATGAAATAAACTGAAATAATAAAACATTTGCTGTTACCATATTTAGAGTGCTCTTAAAACAGGTTGAAAAGAACATGTAGTGGCTGTTCAGCCAGCTGATGCACTTTTTGCTGTATGAACATTTATACCACCAAAAAAGAAACCTTATGCTTACATAATGTTTTATAGTATATATTGACTTTCCACAAGTATTTTCTCTTCTCAATCCCTGCCCTCCTCCAATTAGGTAGGATAATAAAAATTACTTACACAGAGAACTAGAGAACTAAAAAATAATAAATCTCCTCATATTGATAAATTTCCGAAGAGAAAGTGTAGAATGTCTACTAAAACTAGATTTTTTCAATATTATTGTGGTTTTTCATCTATTATACTGCTATTATATTTGTCCAGAGAACTTCCCTGTTTTTCTAGGTAGGGATAGCATCTTCTCTGATGTGTTACTATACAAACTTTATTGTAATTTTTTATTTTTATTTTTACCATTCTGCCTATTCATGTGTCTGTTTCACCTACTAGACTAAACCTTTTCCTCTTTAGTCTCTGTGTGAAGCGCCATCACTGATACGCTATTAGAAGTACTGAATATTTATGTATTTATTCATGCATTTATTCAACAAATGTTCGTTACATGCCCCATGTGTCAAACATTCTACTAGACACTGGGAAAAAGGGTTAAGACTACAGCAACAAATAATGCTTAACATTTATATAGTTCTTACATTGTGTTGGGCAAAGCATTTAATATATTTAATATATTTATTAAATTTTCACAACTCTTTGAGGATGATCTTTGTTTCTCACATAAGGAATTGAGACACTGAGAGTTTAAATAACTTGTCCAAGTTTCCATATCTAACAAGTGGTATAACTAGGATACAAACTAGGTAGGCTGGCACCAGATCCCAGGCTCTTTCCATTAGGTTCTATCAGGATGTACTTTGATTTTATAGATGTTGCAGTCTACTGGGTAGACAAATATTAAAGTAAATAAATGGGTATATTTCTGATGTTTAGGATGTAATAACTAACCTTAAGTGAATGTGCATGATATGAGAAGAGATACATACTCTAGAGTGGAGAATTAAGAAAAATCTTAATGGATAGACAGAAAAAATCAAAGTATCATATTTAAAATAGTGTTGATAGAGGTATTTTTATATTCCTTTTAGAAATAAAACCTAAACTGTTATTTAGCAATATGTTTCAATTTTTTTCAAATACAAAATAGTGTTTAGAAACTTTTTTTAAGATTAAATAATCTGATAAATTTGCTTCAACTTGATTCAGTTTACAACTGAAGAAATAAATAGTAGTTGATCTTGATTGACTTATTTTCCTCATTAGACCATTTCATCTTCAACATAATAATAATGAAAAAGGCAGAAAAAAAATGCAGGTAAATGCTCCAATTACCCAGATACAGTGTTTCCTTATCTGTGTAGCAACTTTAAGTAAAATGTTACCCTATTATAATAAAAATGATCAGCAGTGAATTAATTAAGCTGTATTTAAGTGAAATGTTATGTTAAAATTACAACTTGTCTGGGATTCTGCATGACAGTTGTTCTTGCTGAAATAATTTTTATTATTTTTATGCTACCAAATCAAGAGTAGGATACAAAAGTGAATATAAAATTAAAGATCGAGAATACATCTTTTGCAAGACTTTTAAATGGGGAACATTGGGATGTCACATACTTAGAAACCTGCTTAAAATATATACTGTATAAATACAAATTCAAATTTGGTTATTTAAATCAACATGTTTAAAATTCAAATTCAAGTTATTGTGATGCTTTTTTGAACATTCTTTTCCTAACGACTTAATTGTATTTTTTATGATTGTATGTAATACACACATGTGAAATATCATGAAGACAATTTTCAAAAATATATAGCAAATAAATATTTGTTGATGTGACAGACAAATTGCCTACAAATATATTTTTCTAAATTATTCATAGGGAAACCAAGCACTTTAAATCTTATCTCATCAAGTTTAATTTTATTTATTATTACAAGCACATTTATAAAAATAATTTGTATGTAAAGAATTTTATTTTTGAAACATTCTAAATTGCATTGCTTTGGTCAGAAACATTAAATTTTAGCAAAACATGTATATTTCATTATCAAGATTTTCAAGCGATCTTAATTTCAAACATAATTTTTCTAAAGAATTTTAGAGTTTCTATTGTCCTCTCGGATTAACAATGCATGTTATCCAAGGTAATCAAACGAAGCATTATTTAACTTTGGACAGTTTAACAAAATATTTTTCTTAATTTCATTTTCTTAAAATACATGCATTGATGAAAACAGAATCAGAATGATGTTTGTGTGGCAAAATGATGTATTGAATATTCTCTCCCAACATTACCTAGTGGATTAATTAATTAATTAATTAATTTTGAGATGGAGTCTCTCTCTGTTGCCCAGGCTAGAGTGCAATGGCGGGATCTCGGCTCATTGCAACCTGCACCTCCCAGGTTCAAGTGATTCTCCTGCCTCAGCTTCCCCAGTTGCTGAGATTACAGGCACCCACCACCATGCCCAGCTAATTTTTGTATTTTTAGTAGAGACCAGGTTTCACCATGTTGGTCAAGCTCGCCTTGAACTCCTGACCTCAGGTGATCGACCCGCCCCAGCCTGCCAAAGTGCTGGGATTACAGGCGTTGAGCCACCATGCCCGGCAGATTTATTTATTACTAAAAATTAGTAGAAAACTTTACTCTTCTGTAGAATAATGCCATTCCTGAGGTTTTCACCTTTTCATCAGCCTAAATTTTAATTCAATTCTATATTATACTTTCCTACTGTAAGAGATTTTAGGTATAACAGAGAAAATAACAAGTTCTTAATTTGTCTAATTTAGCAAACAATCATCTTTATTTTTGTGAAAATGCCACTTTCTATAAAGAAAAAAAATCTCAAAATTGATAGTGATGGAAAATACTGAAGTAACATAATGAAGTAGGGTGCAAAAATGCTCCAGAAACTCTGCAGTTGATGAATATAATTTACAGTTTTTAATTGTAAACCAAGCCAAAATAAATAAAGCAAAATAAAAGTGAAATAAATAAAATAAAAATTATATATGTATTTATAGCATTAAAATGCTAAGAATATTATTAAACATCTAAAGAAGATAATTGAGATGTACCGGAATGCATTGAATCTCTAGATTGCTTCTGGTACTATGGTCATTTTCACAATATTGATTCTATCCATCTATGGGAATGGGATGTGTTTCCATTTGTTTGTGTAGCTAATGATTTCTTTCAGCAGTATTTTGTAATTTTTCTTGTAGAGATATTTCACCTCCTTGGTTAGGTATATCAGCTGTTGTGAAAGAGATTGAGTTTTTGATTTAATTCTAAGCTTGGTCCTTGTTGGCGAATAGCAGTGCTATTGATTTGTGAAGATTGATTTTGTTTCTTGAAACTTTGCTGAATTTGTTTATCAGGTCTAGAAGGTTTTTGGACGAGTCTTTAGGGTTTTCTGAGTATACGATTATATCCTTGGCAAACAGCGACAGTTTGAATTCTTCTTTACTGATTTAGATGGCCTTTATTTCTTTCTCTTCTCTGCTCTGGCTAGGAATTCCAGTTCTATGTTGACTAGAAGTGGTGAAAGTGGACATCTTTGTCTTCTTTCAGTTTTCAGGGTGTTACCAGGGGGTCATTGCTCCCAGAGTTCCCAAGATGGTGGTGGGCCGCTTCCAAAATGGTGGCGGGCCACTTCTAATATGGTGGCAAGCCTCGTGTTCTCTGACCTGGGGTTCTTGGCCTCAGGGATTCCAAGGAATGGAATCTTGGGCCATGCGGTGAGTGTTATAGCTCTATTAGAAGCCCTGGGTCATGGAAGAGAACTGTGGAACCCAGTGACTAATGTTCAGCTTGATTAGGATGAACCCAGGCACTTAGCCGTGCAGGAACAATGGCAAGCCTTTAGCCCAGTCGGGAACAGCAATGGGTGCCTCACTGGATCAGGAGCACAGTGGACACCCTGCGGGATCCGGAGGGATGGAAGTCAGCGGCTGGTCTGTGACGGCGGCAAACAGCAGTGACGGACAGCGAGCCAAAGCTCAGCTCGAGTCATAACAAACATGGACCAGAAGAGTGCAGTTGCAAAAGAGTGAAATAGAGTGAAAACAGAGATCCCATACAAAGGGAGGGGACCCAAAGAGGGTAGCCATTGCAGGCTCGAATGCCTGGGTTTATATCCCAATCATCGTCCCTCCCACTGTGCTCTCAGGCATTAGATGATTGGCTATTTCTTTACCTCCTATTTTTACCTAATTAGCATTTTAGTGAGCTCTCTGATTGATCAGGTGTGAGCTACATTGCAAGCCCCGTGTTTAAAGGTGGAAGCAGTCACCTTCCCAGCTAGGCTTAGGGATTCTTCGTCGGCCTAGGAAATCCAGCTAGTCCTGTCTCTCAAGGGGGAATACTTTCAACTTTTCTGTATTCAATATAATGTCGGCTGTGGGTTTGTCATAGATGGCTTTTACTTCCTTGAGGTATGTCCCTTCTATGCCAATTTTGCTGGGGGTTTTAATTATGAAGGGATGCTGGATTTTGTCAAATGCTTTTTCTGTGTCTATTGAGATGATCATATAATTTTTGTTTTTAATTCTGTTTATGTAATGTATCACAATTATTGACTTGTGTATGTTAAACTATCCTTGCATCCCTGGTATAAAACCCACTTGATCATGGCATATGATCTTTT